>NC_000005.10:25762366-26065396 GCF_000001405.40 Homo sapiens
AAAAATACGGCATATTTGCACATTACTTAGCATACCACCTGACATTTATCTTTCAATAATAAAATTTTTTGCTATTAAACTTACCTTCAAAGATCAGACATTTAATAATGATCAGTGTTTCTTTATTTTATTTCCAACTTTTATCTTAAGTTCAGGGGTACACGTGTAGGATGTGCAGGGTTGTTAGATAGGTGAACGTGTGCCATGGTGGTTTGTTGCAAGGACCATCCCATTACCCAGGTATTAAGCCCAGCATCCACCAGCTATTCTTCCACGATCAGTGTTTCAATGAAAGCACATGTATACATCACTTTGCTCTCTAAACTACATTCCATTGCACAGTAGCAGAGAACTAATTCATTGGTGCTGATTTGTATCGCAAAGAACATTATCAGTGACTATTTTGGAATTGGAGTTAATCTCTCAATTTTAGACATTTAAAAGGTACTTGCTATAACAAGATCTTTTAAAATGTAGTGTAGGTTTCAGACAAAAGAAAAGTACAGTGTTTTTGAATCTTAAACAAATGACCTGTGTTTAACATCTTGTCTAAGGTTGTCTGCCTCTGGGTATTATGACCCATTGAGAACAAGATTGTCTTTTCTTTTAATGTATACAGATTTTTGAGAAAAGCATTTTTTTTACAGTTTGTCTAAGTTAACCTTCTTTTTAAAGCTGCAGCCCACAAACACTTCAAACCTAATCTTTTTTGACCCTCAATTTTTTTTGACCCTCAATTTTTTCTCAGAAGAGTCAAAGAAGAATCACATCCTCCAATGTGAAAGCCAGCATTTATAACCCATCTTTTATCAGTTGTGAATTATGTGTTAGTCTGTGTATGTTTACCTTTTTTTCAGGTGGTGAAGAGGGAAGGAGGGCTAATGTGAAGATTTAATAAGCTAAGGTGACATAGAAAAAATAATAAAAAATAAGTAAATATTTGAAGAGACTCCAAAAATCCCAAAGTCTTTTTGTTTTATGAGTGAAGAGATGAGAAAAAAATGTTTACGAGCATATGTAACAAAAATTTCTTTGTAATGTAGATTTTAGTTTTTATTATGCATTCATTCTGATTACTTTATAACATTTAAATATAAAACCTTAGAAACTGCAATAATTTTATACATAGGAAATTTAGAATAATATTAATAAAATGGAACAATATATCTATATTGAGCCAGATAATTCTGAAATCAGTATTTATTTGGTTGTATCAGTTTACAATTTTGAGGGGGAGATTACCACTTCAGTTTTCAGATTTTACATATGCATGCTGATTTGGAAAAAAAATCTATAAAGATTTAAAGAAAGAAATTTTGTGGGATAAAAATATGAACGAGCTGAATTACTAATGAAACATTTCTGTTGTGTTCTATTCCTGTCCTTTGGAATGTTTGTGTTAGTATGCCTGTTCTTCTGATGTTCAATCTTGATAATGTCTGAAAAGTACAATATGAAAAATAAATGAAAACGAATGTATCTTTTACTTGTGTGTGTGTGTTCTCTTCTATTATAAAGAGGTGAATCTAAAGCAAGATGAAAAGGTATTATAATGCTGAGTGGCAGAATGTGACACAAGAGTTCCCTCAAGTGTGTAATACAGCCTACAGGGAGACCAAATGCATTAGGATGAATTTATATTGACAAAGGAGTCATTCTTTCTAGTGTTTAGAAGAAGAATTCTGCCATGACCCTCATAACAAATTACTGTTGTCTGACCTCATTGAAACAAGAATGTAGTAAAGTAGGTCCAGTGGAGCTGATGTAGTAGAGGCACTTACACCACAACAACACGTCTGCAGGGTGCAACGATAGCCCCCCTTGTTTCCTATGCCACTAAAACACTCGATAAAGAGTCTTATCACCTTGATCCCAGAGCTCCTTTATTAAGAGACAGAAAAAGGAAATGCTTTGTGACCACAGAGAGTGGCATGTTATTTTCTGAAGAGTTAAGATTACTAAACGAAAGAAAGAATTCCTACAACCTGGAAGAAAGCCTTCTGTTGTGTTGTAGTACATCCAGCCAGCAGCTTGCATTAAAGACGGGATTCTTTTCCCATTATTTCATATTCTGTTACCCTTCCTACCTTGTAGAGCTCAGACACCAGTTGCTAAAAGTCCTCCCCTCTTCAGTCATCTCACGTGCACTGAACATGTACATTTTATTCAAAGCGCATATTATATACTTTTTAAATGAAAAGATAACAAATATAGTATGTTTTATAATGTATTGCTGTTTCTTATGGAGAATATTTGCCTTAAAACAGCAGGTTTTTCTTGCAATGTTCTTACCTTCCATGGATCTATTTCCTATTAGCATTTTTATGGAATTATTAAATAAACATTTTCATGTGATTGATTATCCTGGAGCAGGGATGTTAGAAATGACTTTTCAAACATATCTAGACTTGAAACAATTTAGTTGTAAAGATTCATTTAAAATATAATACTATTTTAAAAATGTTATTCAAACTAAATAAACTTCATCCTGAGACATTGTAATTTTTCCAAAATAAAAGTGTAAGAACTGTTAGTGCTCAGTAAGTACTTCTTGCCACTATTGCTGAGCAGGCAGTTCTATAGTCACTTAGAATAACTAAAGTAATATTTGGTCATTTTTCTAATAGCCAATAAAGTAGTGAATCTTACACACCACCAGACAGCTTAAAAACTAAGCCCATTAATTGTTGCTCTTAATATTCCATTTAATACTTTACTGCTAAATGCAGTCAGGAGAAAAGCAGTGGTTTGTAATTTTTATTTTGACATATACTTTCTGGATTTAATTCTTACCAAATTAATTTTGCAAGAAAGTTGTTTCAGGCATCTTTGTTCAGAATGTCTTAAATTAATAACAATGTTGGGAAAAAATGCAGCATTCGTGACAGCTTTTCAAGACTAAAATTCTGATATCTAAGCGCTCTTTCTCACCATAATAACATCTTTAATGAAAGGATTGAATGTATCACAGTTTGTTTTTACTAGTGATATTTCCTAGGCCAAGAGATTTAAAAGTCATATTTGTATAATTAAATTATTTTCAAAAAAATTTCCATTTATATGTAGATTTGGGAGTTACACACACATATTTATATATTTGGGATGTGTATATATATATATATATATTTATATTTGGAATATGTGTAATACGTGCACACACACACACACACACACACACACACATATATATGTAATGTATAATCTCCTAAAGATCAACCCACCCCATCCACCTATGAATTTTCTGTGCATTGTGGGCTGACAAAACATAATTTGGAATGTGAGAACAAGGCAAAAAAAACATAATTTGCAGATGGGTAGCAACCTCAATCATCCTAGAGAAACATACCTGTTAGGAAAAAATTTGTTCTCCAAAAATTCATATGTAAAAGAGCAAACTCCAAAGGGACCATATTGGGAGATAACTTTTAAAGAGGTAATTAAGATTAAATGAAGTGATAAGGGTGGTGCTTTCGTCCAAAATATGTTTCCTTAGAAGAAAAGGGGGAGACACAAGAAATGTGCATGAAAAGACCACGTGAGGACATAGTGAAAAGGCAGTCACCTGCAAACCAAGGAGACGAGCGTCAGGAGAAACCAACCCTGCAGGCACGTTGATCTTGCACTTCTGGCCTCCACAACTGTGAGAAAATGAATTTCTATTGTTTAAGCCACATAGTCTGTTTTTTGTTACAGCAGCCTTAGCAAATTAATATAATACCAAGCCAAGATGGAAAACTAGATGTCTTTTATCAAGATAGTTTTTGATTTACCAAAATGTATGTATTTCAAAACACATTTTATTCAAACTCTCTCTGATTGTGCTATTTAGAGCTTTTTTTATAGTTCTTGTATATCACTATGCAAGACATATTTACCTTACATAATTTCCAGGGTATTTTAATCATGTCTGTGTTAGGTTAGAAAATAATAAAAAGCATTGACATTTAGTAAAATGTTAGAAAAAATGCTTCTGTCACATTGTGTCTCTTAAAACAGATGCTATTACTTGCTATTTTCTTGACTTAGCCTTTTATTTTAAAAAAAGTATATATATGAATAGCAATGGCCTGTCTATTCACAACCTTCCTACTTGATTTTATTCATTCCCCTTAAACCAAGCAAATCAGGGAAGAGCTGAGTCACAATAATTTAAGCTTCACAAGAAAATTGCACCTTGTTGTTGCTGTAAGTGTTTGGGGTAGGAATAGGCATGTAAGAAGTTCTGACCAATGCTGCACAAAGTAATGTCGGGTGACATTTCTTAAGAAAGGTTTATTAGAATAGCAAAGAAGGAAAAAAGCATGAGGGAAACTCATTCTTTCCCCTGACACTTGCAGTCTTTGGATAAGAACACAAATAATGAAACTGTGACAGCCACTTGTGAACATGAGTAGACAAACCTGAGTATGAATGCCCATGTGCTACTAGGGGACAGATAAAATATGGGAAGAACCTGGCCCTAGATGGCATCAGTGAGTTGCTGAAATGACCAACTAAGGTGCTTCCTGACTTCTGGATTCTACATGACATAAATATTTTATATATATATATATATACACACACACACACACACACACACACACATATGTACATACACACATATATACATGCACACAATCCTGAGTTTTAAGGGATTTTTACTTTTTTCTATCATTTACACCCAACATAGCCTATTATAATAGCTCAATATATTCAAAATGTCCTGTTCAAAAGTACAGGCTGTTTTTTGTATGCATTAACTTAATTAATCAACCCAAATGCCTATGAAGCATAAAATATTCTAATCTCTATTATATAAGTAAGAAATATTAAAGCTAAGATTTAGAAAATTAGGAGATATGACAAAGTAAAAACATAATGTTAACTCAAATGGCTCTGACGATGGAGCACCACATTTAAGTTTGTTTTATTAAATGCATTTTCTATGTTTCCTTCATTAATTGGATATTGCCAGATCAGGGATAGTTTGGTTTCTATATTTATCACCTAATGATTAGAAATAATTACATAATCACTTTTTTTCACCTTGACATTTTATTGGTAATTTATTACATGTAAATTTTGTGGACAATGACTAAAACCTGCCCTCACAACATGCAGTAGTTTGAACTGAAATGAATGGACAAAATATAAAATTATATAAGTTAATGTAGAAATTTTCCAGTTACATGCAAAATATTACATGTGCCCAGAGGGGGAAAATTATCTCCAACTTTGATTGGTAAAGAAGCTAGGTAGTGGTGGAAATATTTGATGTCAGTATTGAAGGAATGTTTAAACTTTCAAAATGTAAATTAGAATGTCACCTTTCAGGCAAGATGGAGTAACAGGGGCCAGATGTACCTTTTCAGCAGAAACAACTAAAAATATATGAGACAATAGTACTCAAAATATTAAATATCAGGCAATAAAGACAGGTATCCCTGAAAGACAGAAAACAGTTGAAGTGAGCTTAAGAAATACCCTCAGCTTACTGACTGGAGAAATTTTCTAGGATGCAGAGCAAGGAATCAAAGCCAGACAAAGCCCAGAAATCTCCCTAAGATGATGAGATGGAGCTTTATAGAAGCCAAGGTAACTAAAGTAAATGGGATAGAATGGAAGAAATAGGTTCACAGATAAAAAAAACTTTACATATCCCCAAATATATTATGACTATTCCTTAAGTATTTAGATGACTGCTAATCAGTACATGTATTTAAGGAAACTCTCTAAGGCAGAGAAAAAAAGCAAACTAAAATAACTGTGGAAAACAGTCTTCCAAACTCACAGATGATGCCAAGAATAGAGCTTGGTCCCAACAGCTAGAATGAAAAACCTCATAATTCAGGTAGCATTAGTTAGAGTACTAAAAAAGGCCTTGCCTCAGTAGTGTGGAAATTTAGTTATTTCTTCCTTTCTTTTTTTTTTTTAAAGGAAGGTCTGGGCCTCATTGAGAAATCTTAAATCAAGATTTAAAAAGATCAAGCTCCCCATTAGCTTTTCTAAGTCCCAGAAAAATATCTCAGGAGTATTTAAAGAAATGCAAAAATATCTGTATAAATTAAAATTGGAATTGCAATGTCTGGTATCCAGTGAAATATTACCAGGGATATAAAGAGGCAGGAAAACAAAATCCATGAAAAGGGTAAAAAAGAATGAATCCAAAACAATGAAAAATAATACATTTGACAAAATTAGTACACAGAAACATTAAAAGAGGTGCCATAACTTTTTAATCAATATCTTCACGAAGCTAAAGATGGAACATGTTAAGTAGATATATGGGTTATATAAAAACCTTCATGTTGTATATTGCGTGTAATTAACATATTAATGTTGAAGAAGAAATACTAGAAAACATGAAGACATACAATTGTTGGAAGACAGTTCTCCATAGTTTATCATATTACTGCGTGTCTTTTGAGCGATGGCCTAATTACCCTTTCTCATGGACTATCTTTTCAAGGATGCTTGTATGTGAACAGATTTTGGTGACAAAGCTAATGTTTTCTACTAAAGTGAATATTAAGAATATTTATTGCCCATTCCAAAAGATTCAAATTCTTTAAGCTTCTGTAATGCAACTCTGCGTGTGTACAGGTGCCATCTTGCCTTCTTCATGTCATGCTGAGTCTGTCCCACAGACTCTGGCTGAGCAATGGATGAAAGAAGTATGCTGACACAGGTATTTTGCCTGATAGCATGCCTGGGGACTGCACAGCTTAGCACTGCTGATGAGAGTGCCACCCGACAAGCCGGCCCCGCTTGCATTTATTTAGTACAGATTTAATGACAAAGACTTGGAGCAAACACCATTTGTGGGTAATAAACATTGTCAACCCCCCAAGTAGAGAGCAATCCTGAATGCAAATGATCAAAGGTTGGTTTCTGGAGACAGGAGTAAGCAAATGTATCTAGATAAGTTCCTCTACATTCTCTTGTTATGTGCCCTTTGCTCTCAGCCTCCGGATAAGAGAATTTGGCTGCCTTCAGCCAAAATTCTCTCCCAGAGCTTTTGTAAAACCTCTCAGCCTTCCAAGAAGGTTTGGGTCTTTCCCTATAATTTTTCTTATAACTTTTCCCACCACCATGACCGATTATCCTACAATGTCACTGTTAGGGAACCAGGCTTGAAGAAACACTAAAAATTAGAACCACTAATATATTATCCATCACTCTATTAGCCTGTTCTCACATTGCTATAAGGAAATAACTGGAACTGGGTAATTTATACAAAAAATGGGGGATTTAACTGGATCATGATTTTTCAGGCTGTACATGAAGCATTCTGCTGGCATCTACTTGGCTTCTGGGGAGGTCTCAGGACACTTACAATCATGCTTGAAGGTGAATGGGGAGTAGGCATGTCACATGGATAGAGCAGGAGAAAGAGAGTGAGTAGGGGGAGGTGCAACATACTCGTGAACAACCAGTCTTACTAGAGCTCTTTCACTATCAAAAGGACAGTACCAACAGTATGGTGCTAAATCATTCATGAGAAATCTTCCCCCATGATCCAATCACCTCCCACTAGGCCCATCTCTAACACTAAGGATTACATTTCAAATGAGATTTGGGCAGGGACACACATCCAAACTATATCAGTTACTATTTTTGTGAGTAATAAGATGTCTTGATCCCTGACCCAGGAGTATGGTTTTCTTCCAGCATCATTAAACTGTGACAAGTTAAATTGTCAGCATGGAAGTGGAATAAAATTTCACACTCTTAACAGTTTCTTACAGTTATATAATAATAGGAGTGTATGATACTGAAATAAACATAAGTTTCTTAAAAGGGAAGATAGGCACTTCAGGGAGTAACTAATGTTATTTGGCATGGTTTGGCTCTGTGTCCTTGTCCAAATCACATGTTGGGTTGTAATCCCCAATGTTGGGAGAGGGATCTGGTGGGAGTTGATTGGATCATGGGAGTCAATTCCCTCTTGCTATTCTCATGATAGTGAGTGAGTTCTCATGAGAACTGGTTGTTTAAAAGTGTGTAGCAGTTCTCCCATCATTCTCTTTCTCTCCTGCTGCCATGTGAAGATGTGCTTACTTCCCCTTCACCTTTCTGAATGATTGTAAGTTTCCTAAGACCTCCCAAGCAATGCTTCTTGTACAGCCTGCAGAACTGCAAATCAATTAAACATTTTTTCTTTATAAACTACCAAGTTTCAGGTAGCTATTTATAACAGTATGAGAACAGACTAATACAGAAAATTTGTACTGGGAGGGAGGTATTGCCATGAAGAAACCTGAAAATGTAGGAGTGACTTTGGAACTGTGTAATGCACAGAGGTTGAAAGAGTTTGGAGGGACTAGAAGAAACAGAAAGTTGAGGGAACATTTAGAACTTCCTAGAGACTTGTCGAATGATTGTGACCAAAATGCTGATAGTGACAGGTACAGTGAAGTCCAGGATGAGGTGCTCAAAGGGAATGAGGAACTTATTGGGAACCGGAGTAAAGGTCACTCTTGCTATGGTGGAGCAACAGGACTGGCAGCATTGTGCTCCTGCATTAAGAATCAGTGAAATTTTTAACTGGAGAGTGATGATTTAGAGTATCTCATCAAAGAAATTGCTAAGCAGCAAAGCATTCAAGATGTGTCTTGGCTGCTTCTAAAACGCTATGCTACTTTGCACAAACAAAGAAATGACCTAAAACTAGAACGTATACTTAAAATGAAAGCAGAGCTTAAAGGTTTGGAAAATTTGCAGCCCAACTATGTGGTAGAAGGGAAAAAAAAGGATTTACTGAGGACAAATTCAAGGCTGTAGAAATTTTCATATGTAAAGAAAAGCCAAATGTTAATACTCAAGACAATGGGGAAAATGCCTGCAGGGTATTTCAGAGACATTTCTGGCAACCCCTCCCATCCTAGGCCTGGAGGCCTAGGGGGATAAAAGCGTCTCCTGGGTCAGGCCCAGGACCCTGCTGTTCTGTGCAGCCTCAGGACATGGTTCCTTGTGTCTCAGCCACTCCAGCTTCAGCTGTGGCTAAAAGGGGCCAAGGTACTGGGTGCCAGTGGCTCACGCCTGTAATCCCAGCACTTTGGGAGGCTGAGGCGGGCAGATCATGAGGTCAAGAGATCAAGACCATCCTGGCCAACATTGTGAAACCCCATCTCTACTAAAAATATAAAAATTAGCTGGCCGTGGTGGCACATGCCTGTAGTCACAGCTCCTCGGGAGGCTGAGGCAGGAGAATCACTTGAACCAAGAGGCAGAGGTTGCAGTGAACCGAGATCACGCCACTGTACTCCAGTCTGGGCGATGGTGCGAGACTCTGTCTCAAACACACACAGACACACACGCACACACACACACACAAAGGGGGCCAAGGTACAGCTCAGGCAGTGGCTTTGGAGGGTGCAAACCCCAAGCTTTGGCAGCTCTCACATGGTGTTGATCTTGTGGGTGTGCAGAAGGCAAGAGTTGAGGTTTGGGAGCCTCTGCCTAGATTTCAGAGGATGTATCAAAACACCTGAATGTCCAGACAGAAGTCTGCTGCAAGGATGAAGCCCTCATGGATAACCTCTACTAGTCCAGTGTGGAGGGGAAATGTGGGGTTGTTATCCCCACACAGGGTCCCCACTGGAGCACTGCCTAGTAAAGCTATAAGAAGAGGGTCACTGTCCTCCAGACCCCAGAATGGTAGATCCATCAACAGCTTGCATCATGTGCCTGGAAAAGAAGCAGGCACTCAACTCCAGTCCATGAAAGCAACTGTAAGTGCTGTACCCTGCATAGCCACAAGAGCAAAGCTGCCTAAGGCATCTGGAGCCTACCCCTTGCATCACTGTGGCCTGGTTGTGACACATGGAGTCAAAGGAAATTATTTTGGAGCATTAAGATTTAATGACTGCCCTGCTGGGGCAGGATTGTAGCCCCTTTGTTTGGCCAATTTGTCCCTTATGGAACACCAGCATTTACCCAATGCATATACCCCCATTATATCTTGAAAGTAACTAACTTTTTTTTTTAATTTTCAGGCTTATAGACAGAGGAGACTTGCCTTGTCTCAGATGAGTCTTTGGACTTGGACTTTTGAGTTAATGCTGGAATTAGTTAAGAATTTGGGGGACTGTTGGGAAAAAATGATTGTGTTTTGAAATATGAAAGAGACATAAGACTTGTGAGGAGCCACCATGGAATAATGTTTTGCCTCTATGTCGCCACCTAAATCTCAAGTGGAATTATAATTCCCAATATTGGTGGAGGGGCCTGGTAGGAGGTGGTTGAATCATGGGGGAAGATTTCCCCCTTACTATTCTTGTGATAATAAATGAATTCTTAAGAGATCTGAGTGTTTAAAAGTGTATAGCTCTTCCTCTTTTGCTCTCTCTCTCGCCACCATGTGAAGACATGCTTGCTTCACATTTGCAGATGATTGTAAGTTTCCTAAGGACTCCCAGCCATACTTCCTGTACATCTGTGGAACTGTGAATCAATTAAAATTCTTTTTTTCATAAATTAGCCAGTCTCAGTTATGTCTTTATAGCACTGTAAAAATGGGCTCATAGATTGTTTTAGGGAAATCCATGGTAATTAATAGTAAACTTGTCTGATTATATAATCAGCATACTCGATTGCCTATAAAGGAGAAAGTGAGGACGTGGTTGCCAGCTGAGTACTGGAAAGAAAAATTTCAAAGACCTGACCTCCAGGCAGATGCAATGTTTTTCCAATGTGTGCTAACCTTTTTCAGCAACTAGTACTAAAAGTTATCCTGAGAGGGCAAAACTTTTCTCTTTCTTTCAGTCAATGGTTGCCTAGATTCAAATCCACATTAAGTATAAAATGAGGAAATCTATGTTTTCTATGGGCAGAAACAAAGCAATTTATTAGAAACTTGGCTGGCTGGTTCGCTCGCGAGATGAGGAAGAACAGTTGACCTTTTCTATAGTCCATTATGCTGCTGTATATCCATAAGCTTGGGGAAGTCAAACAGTCCTAAAGTTTCTTGCATTAAATAGTGGCTTTTATAATGCAGCTTGTCCCTCATGGAAAACTTTTCTCAGTACATATATACTTCTATGGAAAACCAAAGATGAGATATTTAGTGGTATTCTGGTTCTTACAGCCCCAAATTGGGTTAACAATGCTGATGACTGTGACCCACTGGAGAATGAGAAAATTGCCCAAAGGAATCTGGACACATTCTTGTGTTTATTCCTACTTCCCTGAAATATTCACCTCATTTTATGTGAAAAACAACCACTAAATGAAAAAATAATGTCTGAGAATATGAAAATTTGATGCAAGCCATGAACTTATATAGTCTCATTGAACTCCAAGATAAAATCATGAGAAAAATTTCATGCAGGTATATTATAATCAAATTGCTTAAAAACAGTGATAAAGAGAACATCTTAAAAGCAATGTTGGGGGCTCAGAAAATGATGCCCCACATATGATAATTTTGGCATGCTGAGTGTTTCACCTAAAGGAGAAACAAGGTCTTTCTGATCTTTTCCTATCACCCTGACTCTCACTCTTCTTTTTCTCCCGAAGCCTAGGAGGGGCTGTCTCTGAACTTTCTTCATCTGACTAAAGGAAATTCCTCCAGAAGGAAGTTAATTGTCATGAGTCTCCTTCCCACAATCTCATTAAACTAGGAAGACTGATTTACAGAATAGGAGACTAAATGTTGACACATAGTATTCTTCTGAGGACTGCTACCTGAAATATCTCATCTTCATAACAAGACAACATTTGTTCATCATGAGTTTACCTCTCTCACCCTCTCATTGCTTGTGACACCATCCTCCCCTAAGAAGCCCTAAGCTGCTATTTTCTCTGCAGCTTAAAATGTTATTTAAACTTTAACCATCTGGCCCTTTATTAAATCTTATACTGTGCATGATTTCTTTGCATTTGCATTTAATAAATTAGTATGCTTTTTTTCTCTGTCTAATGTCAAATTTAGCCCAGAAACTCAAACTATCAAGCCTTCAGAGAGTGGAAAGAAAGTTTCTTACATTGCCATAGCAGCTACAAGACAAAAAAATATATACTAAGAAACAAAGATAAGGATAACAGCAGATTCCTCACTGAAGAGAATGCAAAATAGAAGACAATAGAACAACATATTTAAAGTACTTAATTTAAAATCAAAAACAAAACCTTTTGATATAGAATGCACAGGTATGTTACAATAACAATTATGAAATAATGACTTTTTAGACATACAGAGATTAGAAGATTTTACTATGATTAGATCCAAACACAAAGAAATATTTAAGAACATTTTACATTCAGAATAAACATTATACTTAATATATCTTGTGGAAACCTGGATCAGTACAAAAGAGTGATGAGCACCAGAAAGTTTAACACATAGAAAATATAAAGTTTTTAAAATTATCCTGAAAGACAAAAAAAATGTTTAATAAAAAGTAGTAACAATACCTTGTGAGACTTAGAACATATATACAGGATAAATTTGTGATGAAAGTAGCTGAATGACTAGGAGAGGAGCAATAGAAGTTTTACTTTTCTTAAGCCCTATTTACACTGGTCTATGTGAGTTGAAGTTAGACCATAAATTAATGATGATTCTATAAATGTTAAAATATACACTAAAATAACACAAAAAACCTGTAGTGCATATACAGCGTGGATACACTGGACAAAGGGATGATTCACATCCAGGTGGGACAGCGTGAGATCTTATCACACTACTGAGAATGGCACAAAATTTGAAACATGAATTGTTTATTTCTGAAATTTTCCATTTAATATTCTAGGACCACAGTTGACCAGGGGTAACTGAGACTGTGGAAAGTAAAACCACAGATAAGGGGTGACTACTGCATATACATACAATGGAATATTATTCAGCCTTTAAAAAGAGGGAGATCCTACCACTTGTAACACACGGATGAACCTGGAGGACATTATGTTCAGTAAAATAATCTAGACACAGCAGGACAAATACTATATGATATGACTTATGTGGAATCTAAAATAGTCAAACTCATAGAAGCAGAGGGTAGAATAGTAGTTGTCAGATGATAGGGAGAGGAGAAAATGAGAAGGTATTAAGAAATGAGAAGGCTTTAGTTATGCAAAATGAATAAGTACTAGAGATTTCTTGTGCAGCATAGTGCCTACAGTTAACAATACTCTATCATATACTTAATAATTTTCTAAGATAGCAGCTCTTATATTGTGTACTTATAAAAAATAATAAAAGAAGAAAGAAGGAGGAAACTTTTGGAGGTGATGGATGTGCTTATGGCACAATTGTGGTTATTTTTTTCACAGGTGTGCACTTTGCTCCAATTTCTTCAAGTTGTAGACATTAAATATGTATAGCTTTTTATATGTCACTTATACCTCAATAAAGTGGTTTTTCAGTTAAAACAGATAAAATATGCTCAGTTAATCCAAATAAGGAAAAGAAAGATAAAGAAAAAGAGGAAAATACAGATTAGACATATAGAAACCACAAGAAGGTTATATATTTAAAACCATGTCAATAATTACATTAAATAAAAATGATGTGTACACCCAATTCAAAGGCACAGATTTTCAGATTGGATAAGAGCACAATAACCAACTCTATACTGCCTATATAAAGTTTACCATAAAATAATTATAAGTCTTTAGAAAATAAAAGATGGCAAAGATATACAATGATAATGCAAATCAGAAGAAAGATGGAGTGGTTGTATTAATGTCAGATAAACTGTTTAAGAGCAAGATTGCAAGCAATAAAGAGGATCATTTCATAACGACAAAGGAGTCAGTTCATCTGAAAACATAATAATCCTAAAAGTTTATGTACACAATGACAGACCTGCAAAAGATATGAAGCAAAACTGGGAACTGTAAAGAAAAATACACATATTTACAAATATGCTCAAATAATTCCATGTATCTTATCTAAGTAATAGATTGACCAATGGAAATCAATTAGATTATAGAAGACTTGAACAACTGCATCAACCAACTTGACAGAATTAATATTTATGAAACATTTCAACTTATAATAAAAAAATTAACATTCTTTTCAACTGCAAATAAAATATTTTTTCAAGACAGACTTTTGTCTGGGCCATAAATCAAGTCTCAGTAAGTCTGAATAGTTTTAAGTTATACAAAATAAATGTAGACTTCTACAATGAGCTTTTCTATTATCTGCTGTTAATGCACTGTGTATACCAAAGAGGCTAAATTCATAGAAACTTCTAGCCTTAAATACCTGCATGTCAAGGTTCTCCCCATTATAAATCTAGAACATCAGTATCATATCTTGTTATTAATTTAGATTCTTTTTAATTCTAGTTAACTTTAGGAACATACATACCCTTATGTAATCGAATTTAGTCAGAGATAGCTGACTTACTTTTAACACTGAATATTATAGAGAAGGTGTAAAACTTCAAAGGCAAATATTAGCTTCTCTACCTCAATAAAATATAACTACATAGATTATATCTGTTCTCTCCAGACCCAAGAAAACTATAGGTGTGATCAGTGATTCAAAGATTCCAAAACCTATGCATTAATTCTATAAAATTATAATAAGAAAGTCTGAGCTTACAAAAACAATGCAAAGCAGTCCATTCAAAAATTTCGATAGCCAAAATTATTTTATCTCATTGCAAATATCTGCATGAATACTCATAATTTGTGGCCAAGTACAGTATGATTACATTAAAAGTTAAATGGAGCTTAATTTTACACAGATTGTAGAGAGAAACTATATTATTGGAAATTGAATCAAAGCTTTTAAGTAATTATTTTGTCTGTGGCTGAAGTCAATCTTATGGTTTTACTTAAACTAAAAACAAATTAATATTCTTGGTTGGAAGGATTTTGTTTTTGTTTTCTTGTGTTTTTCCCAGAACTTTTTTTTTTTTTTTTTTTTTTTTTTTTTTTGAGACGGAGTCTCGCTCTGTCGCCCAGGCTGGAGTGCAGTGGCGCGATCTCGGCTCACTGCAAGCTCCGCCTCCCAGGTTCACGCCATTCTCCTGCCTCAGCCTCCCGAGTAGCTGGGACTACAGGCGCCCGCTACCACGCCCGGCTAATTTTTTGTATTTTTAGTAGAGACGGGGTTTCACCGTGTTAGCCAGGATGGTCTCGATCTCCTGACCTCGTGATCCGCCCGCCTCGGCCTCCCAAAGTGCTGGGATTACAGGCGTGAGCCACCGCGCCCGGCCTTTTCCCAGAACTTTAAGCGTATTCTTCAAAGGCACAGGTGGCAAAAGAAAAAATGAACAAATAGAATTGCATCAAACTAAAATGCCCAGTTCAGCAAAGGAAACAATAACCGGTGTGAAGACACAAACTATTAAATGTGAAAAAAAAATCTGCAAACCATGCATCTGATAAGGGTTATATCCAAAATACATTTAAAAACTTTGCAACTCAACGGCAAAAAAATAAAATAAATAACCTGATTAAAAACAGGCAAAGGGGCCAGGCGCGGTGGCTCACGCCTGTAATCCAGGCACTTTGGGAGGCCAAGGCAGGTGGATCACGAGTTCAGGAGATCCAGACCATCCTGCCTAACACGATGAAACCCTGCCTCTACTAAAAGTACAAAAAATTAGCCGGGCATGGTGACGGGCGCTGTGGCCCCAACTACTCGGGAGGTTGAGGCAGGAGAATGGCGTGAACCCGGGAGGCAGAGCTTGCAGTGAGCCGAGATCATGCCACTGCACTCCAGCCTGGGCGACAGAGCAAGACTCCATCTCAAAACAAAAAGCAAAAACAAAAAAAAACAGGCAAAGGTCCTGAACAGACATATCACTAAATAATTGCCAACAGGTATATTAAGAAGTGCCCAGCATCATTAATTATCAGGAAAATGCAAATCAAAATGACAATCACACCTATTAGAATGACTATTATCAAAAAAGAAAGACAGTAAGTTGATAATAAGTTCTTAATGAAATAACAAGGGAATCGTGTTAAGCCATTTATGAGGCATACGCCACTATGATTCAATCACCTCCCACCAGGCCTACCTCCAACCTTGAGAATCACATTTCAACATGAGATTTCAGGAGGACAACCATCCAAATCATATCATAAGTGTTGGCAAGAATGTGGAGAAATTGGAACCACTGTACACTCTTGGTAGGATTGAAAAATGGTGCAGGAGCTAAGAAAAAATTAGTGTTGAGGTTCCTTAGAAAATTAAAAATAGAACTATCATAAGATTCTACAATCTCTCTTGGGGTATATACCCAAATTAAATAAAATGAGTATGTTGAAGAGATACTATACCCTCACGATTATTGCAACACTATTCACATAGCCAAAATTTGGAATCAAAGCAACTGTCCACCAAGGAATAAATAAAGAAAATGTGGTATATATACTAAATGAAATACTGTGATGTCTTAAATATGAAGAAAGTTCTGTCATTTGCAATAATATGGAAGAACATAGAAGACATTATGTTAGGTAAAATAAGACAGACACAGAAAGACAAATACCACCTGATCTCACACACATGTAGAATTTAAATATGTCAACCTTACAGTAATAAGAGTAGAATGGTGGTAACTACCTTTTGGGAGATGGGAAGATGCCTGAAAAAGGATACAAAATTTAGGTTAGACACTAGGAATGAGTCCTAAAGAGCTATTATACAGTATGGTGAGTGTAGTTAGTAATAATGTATTATATATTTCAGAATTATTAAGAAAGTAGATTTTAAATGTTCTCGCCACAAAAGAATGATAAGTCTGTGAGGTAAAAGATGCTAATTAAGTTGATTTAATTATCCCACAATATATATACCAAGCATCATGTTAAAGACCATAAATATATACAATCTTTATTTATCAAGTAAAAATAAAAAAATTTTGAAAAATAATCAATCAAATAATATATAAATGAAGTTTTATAGCCCTGATTTTAAAAGTTAATCTTTCTAACTCAAGCTTTCAACTCGCTAAATTTGTCACAAGAATAAATAGACTAAATCCTAAAAATTTATTTTATCCTAGTTAATAGGAAAATAATACATGCACACTCTTCAAACCAGTTGTGTTATCAATATAAGTGAGACACAATGTTTTGGAATATATGTAATCAACATTATATAATGTGTGATCAACAATAAACTAATTAATAATGTCTTGTAGGGTTGTTTTCATTCTTTTTCTACCTTAAAATTTATATAACTTATTGGAAGATGAAGGGAAAATTCTAGAATATAGAAGCAGGACTGAAATACTTTATTAAGGCTTATTTTAGTCAGCTTTTAGTAAGTTATATAATATAAAAACAGTCTCACCACTTCAATATTGACATCATCAAATATTTGTTTCTTGCTCTTTTCATATGAGTGCTTTTGTTCAACTAAGCCTCCTCTAGCTCCTCTGGTCTCCACTGCGCTTACCTGAACTAGGCTTGATTTGACTCAACATATCATCTCTTTCCATAGCTTAAGATAAAGGAAAGGCCCTCGACCTGAGACCATTGCATTTATGGAGCAGGGCCAGAGCATAAAAGTGAGCTGAAACTCATGATATCTCTTAAGATTCATCTTGGAAGTGAGGCATTGTCACTTTGACCCACAACCCATTGGTCAAAACAAATTATATGGGGTAAATATAATCCCAAATGTAAGGCAGTAAATAGTTAAAAGAAATATTCCAAGCAGCCAAAAGCATGTTACATACTTGGATAAAAATGAGTTCAACTTTAAGTAGGTTAGAAAAATACTGTTTTCTAATGATTATGAGCAAAATTTGGATGTCTAGTTTACATATTTTCACAATATTGCACATATATATATATTCTGTATTTGGTCAAAATACTGGTGGAACATGCTTGGAATTTTAGTAAAATATATGAGAAGTTAAAGGTAAATAATGAGACAGCCGAAAAAGTTGAAAGTCATTCTGATGTCAAGAGAAGTCTAGATAAATATGACCAAGAGCATGATTATATAAATAGGTGACTCAATACAAAGTGACAGAATGTTCAAAGTGTAGCTAGCCCATGAGTAAAAGAAGAATGGATGGAAGAGAAAGCCCCTAAATTGCTTTATTAGGAAGTTACAGGAGAATTTAATTGCATATTTTTGAGTTCAGGACATACTTCTAGAGGGAAGAATTAGGTAACATAAAATTTTAAGGCAGGCAAAGTTCACACTCTCCAACAAAACAAATGGATTCAAAAAGTATTTATTGACCAGGCATTATGTCTTAAAATTTCATTAGCTTCTGTAAATAGAAAGATTAAGGTAACTTATCTTACACTTTTACAAAGTTATGATTCTTGTACATTCACATTAACTATGAATGTCATTCATTAGTTGAAAAAGACAAGAGAACAACAAATCTACAGAAAATGGTGAAACTTATCTTTTAAATTAGCAATTTATTCTGATTTTCTATAGTTTGTAATGTATAAAATTGATTTTTTCCGAACATTCAAATACATGATGTAGCATATACAAACAAGGATTAGCTATTAAATCTTTGAGTACCTTTAAACTATTTTGTCCCGTGTAGGCAGTAATTCAGGTTATACTAATTCTCATATTTATTTATATGACACTTGAAATGTCACTCATGGTTTTGTAAAAGTCTACCTATACTGCTAGATAAAAAACATATTTAACAGTATGACTTGCATAAATAAAATCTCTAAATTATTAACATTTAGATATGAAAGTAATTTCTAGATTGTTAACAATGTACAGAAACATCTGGAAAATATTTATCTCTGGCCTCTGCATCAAATCTTATTTCACATCTTGTGAAAATACAAACTGGAATTCCATTTTGTTAGATCAGGGTATATAAAAATCAGTTCTGAGAATTTTCACTCTCTAAGTTGTTGCTGAAGCATCATTGTCTAATTAAAGAGTTATTTGCAATTGCAGAAAATATTGATACATTCATATCAATCTCGTATGGTGGTTCTCAACTGGGGGAAGGGTGTTTTTTAATACCCCCACCACCCCAGGGGATATTTGGCAATCCTTGAACCATTTTTGACAGCCAAAACTTGCAGGTTGCGGTGGAGAGGGGTGGGGTTTAGTGGCTTCTAGTGATTAGAGTCCAGAGATGTGAGTAAACTTCCTACAATGTATAGGATAGCCCTCCACAATAAAAAATGATC
Organism: Homo sapiens; assembly: GCF_000001405.40. NCBI lineage: Eukaryota > Metazoa > Chordata > Mammalia > Primates > Hominidae > Homo > Homo sapiens. The sequence continues at coordinate 25,781,450 of NC_000005.10, forward strand.
AGGGAATTAAGGAGTTATTTAATTAATTTTATTTATTTTTAAGAGAGTTTCCTTTGCATAATGGATCCATATGTGTAAAATATGCATTTTATGTTATTAAAAACACTTGATTATTGAATGTTATTATTGAATAATACAGACTCTATCCAAAAAAACAGAGAAAATTAAAATACTTTATCAACTATAGAGAAGCAAGTATATTCCAGACATCATTCTAAGAACTTTGTGGGTATTTTCACCAACTTATGAAATGCTCCTTATTGCTTTCATTAGCACTTTGGTAATGAGGAAACTGAGGTACAGCACTGAAATATCAGACACACTCAGATTTAAACCCAAACAATGGGCCTCCAGGCTGGATAGATGCTTTAATCACAGTTAATAGTTTGCAAGACCCCCCACCCTTTCTCTCCTTCTTCGTCTTTCTCTCATAACATTTATTAGGTTGAAGCACATGAAAATCATGTTATTTGACCATATGAACCATTTGATGTGCTTCAACAAAATATGCCCTTAACATGGTACAACTTTTTTTTGACGTGTTTTATTATGTTATTTTTCATAAATATTTTCTTTGTTGATAAAAATGTTTTTAAGTAACAGCTTAAAGGCAATATAATATTGTATATGTAGACTCATTATAATAGCATAATTAATTCACCAATCCTCAACTGTATGATATTTCACTTAAGACCATTTTTTTGATAATTGCTATGGACTAACCTTGTCCTCCTAAAATCCATGTGTTGAAACTTAATTGCCAATGTGATAGTATTAAGAGGTAAAGCCTTTTAGAGATGATGAGGTTATGATGGTGAAGTCTTAATGAATGAGATTAGCGACCTTATCAAAGAAGCCTCAGAGAACTTCCTAGCCCATTTTTTGCCCTTCCATCTCTTCTTACATGTGAAGACAGCATTTATCCTCTTTTTGCCTTTTGCTCCTTCCACCATGTGAGGACACAACGTTTGTATGTTCTGCCTTTCCCGCCATGTGAAGATGCTGGGAGTGTACAGCATCTGTAGAACAGGCCCTCACGTGACACTGAATCTGCTGGTCATATGATCTTAGACTTCCCAGCCTCTAGAACTGTGAATAATAAATCTATATTATTTATGAGTTACGTGTTTATTTTATTATAGCACACCAATGAGCTAAAAGAATGGAAAATTGCAATTTTATTAACATAAAATTTGGGGGGTTTCCTAAGTTTAGTTAAAAAATGAAGTTAAGTTATTGGCAATATTTTATTGCTTGATTTCCTTATATAGAGACATTAAAAATAAAGCTATCTAACTGTTGTGTGGGGATGGATATTTCTTGTGAATTTTAGAGATTATATTTTTTCAATCCTCATAATTTTTTAACCAAAAAGTTGTCTTTCAGTTTTCAAACCTTTGTGAATAGAATGTAGAGAGAATGAAGATTCATCTGTCGAATATTGAAGGCAATTATAAACCTAAAATATTTACAACATAAAATATTTAAATACATTTGGTAAGAAAGTTAAACATTTTAAAACATGAAAAAGTTCATATTGAATATAAATTAAAATGGAAAATAAAGTCAGCATAGATAGAATAAAATTATGTTAAGAACTCAGATTTTTTGTTCAATAGAATTCTATTCACCTACATTATTAGCGGAAAGGCAAATTTTTATTAATATCTCTGTTCTTTTTCTAATAACCGTTTCATTGTATATTATCTGCTCTAATTGCTCAATTGCTAACTTTTCTGGTCTGTTGAAACTTTTCAGAAATTATGCTATTATTGCTCAACTCTGAATACATGAAACTCTTCTTTCTTTACTCTACAATTCGATAATGTGCCTGAGTCTCAACAAACCATATTTATCTTTGCCAGCTGAATCCATCTTGATTCAGCTAAATTGGGTTGGATATAGGGGAAGGATACATTTTTCTGCTGCTCCCATCAACTTTATCTCATTGAAAGTACTATACCTTAGAAATGACAATTTGAATACCAAACTTTGACCCTTCCCCAAAACTTCCATAATACAGCCTCCTGTCATATTCCCTCTGTATCCTGAGGGTGGGGTCACAACTCCATGGGACTTCACATTCAAAGTCCTGATACATTAATTTCAAATGGACAGTGTTCTCTCCTGAGAGATCTTGGTAACTATTTTCCAAATAACAATTGAGCTACAATTTTGTATTAGGCATTATTCTAGGCTTTTCGTATTAACAAATCAGTAAAACAAACAAACAAAATAACACCAATGATCCCTATCTTAATTACATTTATATTTTAAAAGAGGAAGGCAGGTGATAAATAATAGGTATAAAAATAAGTGACTTGTGGAGTACTTTAGAAGACAATGTATTCTATGAAAAGTATAATAGAACATTGAGCAGAGTAGTTGACACTTGTATTTCCTTTTTTTTTTTTTTTTGGAGACGGAGTCTCACTCTGTCGCCCAGGCTGGAGTGCAGTGGCATGATCTTGACTCACTGCAACCTCCGCCTCCGGGGTTCAAGCGATTGTCCCACCTCAGCCTCCTAAGTAGCTGGGATTACAGGCATGCACCACCACACCCAGCCAATTTTTGTATTTTTAGTAAAGACGGGGTTTTACCATGTTGGCCAGGATGGTCTCCATCTCTTGACCTTGTGAGCCCCCTGCTTCGGCCTCCCAAAATGCTGGGATTACAGGCGTGAGCCACCGTGCTTGGCTGACACTTATATTTATAAACGAATGGTAGAAATCTATTTTATTGTAATGCAATTCTTTAGGAATTGAAAGAACTGAAGGGATGAATATCCTTATTTTTGCAAAGAAGGTTTCAGGCAGAGAGAGCAGCCAGTGTGAAGACCCTATGGTGACAGCGTGCTTGGTGTGATGAACAAAACAAAACAATGTGGCTGGGACAAGGTGAGTTGTAAAAGAGTTCAGAATAGTATGATAATGGAGAAGGAATGCTGGAACCTGGTCACAGAATCCTAAATAACTCGACTTTGAATAAAATCATTTTTATTTCTCTGTTGAAAATAGACTGAAGGACAGAAAGATGGAACTGGGTTAGACATATTAAGAAGGTGTTAAATTTACTCAATTCACTATTGATGAACAGCTTGACCCATATTGGAAACACTGCTGGCACTGAGAAGTGGCTTGAATCTGAATGTATTGTAAGGATACAACCAGTAATATTTCTCAATGTATTGTATGTGGATTATGTGAAAAATAGGAGTTGTTAATGGCTTAAAGGCATTTGACCTAATCGACAGAAACGATGGAATTATTATTGACTGAAATGGGGATGGTTGCTTATGGAGCAAGTTTGGAGGGGAATTAAGAGTTTAATTTTGGACATGTTGGACTTGGGATATCTATTATTCATCCAAATAAAGATTTCAAGTAGATAGTTGAATATGTGAGTATGGTGTTCAAGAAAACAAATCTGGTCTGGAGAGATATAGTTGGAAGACACTGATTTATAACTGAAATCAAAGATGAGAAAACATTGAAATGAGTACAGTCAGAGAGGAGGGGAGACTCCAGGACTAAGAGGTGAGGGAGAAGAGGAAAGATTAAACCCAATTCCATATGTATTTAACCAAAAATTGATATAGAGAAGATAACAAGAATATAAGACAAAGTTAAAAGTGTCTAGGATCAATGGATTACAATGCAATTAATGTGTGAAACTAACACAGTCAACTCACTAGAACAGAGTAATTTCAAATAGGAAAAAGTTTTGGTCAGAAAGTAGGATACATAAAATTAAAACAAAAACATGTTCATCACTTTGTAATTTCCAAATTTTAAGGAAAACATTCCTTTTAAAATGAAGTGGAAATAGTCTAAGAGATAAAATCTCCTAAATATGACTTGCATTCCTGTTTTTCCTTTAAAATAATGAGAAAGCAGGTTGATGGCAAGATGCTCAAAGATAATAAAAAATACATTATATTTTGGCTATGTAATTTATGTACTTGTCAAATGTTATTCCAAGGATGAAGTAGCCTATTTGAAGTTGCAAATTGACATCTGATGAATGACTTCCTACAACAGCATTATTATGTTTTGAAAAACTAAGGTCAAAATACTTCATGAAAATGAACAAAATAATAAACTCATTTTCTCTGAATTCTCTATTCTTTAGCATAATATATTGCTCAAATTCTGCTCTAATAAAATCTAGCAAAATGAACTGAAAATAGAATGAATTAAAAGTAGACATAATATTAGAATTTTGAATGTTAATTATAAAGAAGATTCACATTCCAGTTTATGTGTTCATACAGATGTGAAAATTTGATCTTTCATGTATAATATGTATTATACAAATTATCTATTCTATAAGAAATATAATATTTTAGGTTAGATTTTATCAAATGTATTATGATATTTATTATAGAATATATTTATCTATCATATTCATTTAGAATGTAACATTTATTTATATTTTTATTATTATTATTTGAAACAGGGTCTCACTCTGTTTCCCATAGCAGAGTTCAGTGGCATGATCATAGTTCACCATAACTTTGAACTCCTGGGCTCAAGCGATCCTCTGGCCTCAACTTCCAAAGTATCTGGGATTACAAGCACATGCCACTTCATCTGATCCTCCTGCCTTGGCCTCCCAAAGTACTGGGGTTAAAGGCATAAAGCATTGTGCCTGGCTAAATGCAGTATTTATAATATACAAATAAAATATCAAGGTCTATGTGTATTAGAAAGTCTATTCAAAAGTAACAATGCATGTGAAAATTGTTATATATAATTTTTCTGTATTTAGGAAAAATAATACAACAAATAGCCACAATGTATAAACAAAATAAATTGAAAGTGTAATCTTCAAAATAATGTAATATTCTATGGTTTAGTGATCCCAAATCAATAGCCTTCACCAAAGAATATAAAAACAAAAAATCTACTGAACTGTTTGTCATAAAGCTATTAAAATCCTGATAGTAAAACTAGAAAAGAATAGTGAAAAAATATAGAAAAAATATTTATTAACATAATTTTAAAATTGTAAATCATACATATATAAGCAAAAATGCTAAAACATATATCTTTGTGCTAGACTGATATCAATCTACATTATTCCTATACATCCTCTTTAAAATGTGATTTTGAGCTCCTGTATTCAAAATGTGGAGTGTCTTCTCCCATCTCTTGAATCTGGAGTATCCTTGTGACTTACTATGACTAACAGAACACGGACTAGCTTTCTAGAGGATGAGAGACAATATGAAGTAGAGCTAAATCAGCCTGGTTGTACTAGCCAAACCTCACACATGTGAGAGGGCTCATCTAACATGCAACATGATCCATATCTGACATGACCCATAAATGAACACAGATGCATTAATAAACTAAACTGAGCCCAGCTTAGATAGAAAAAAAATAATCCAAGTAACTGACAGACTCATGGGCGTAAACAGGAATTCTTAGAATAGTTAATTTCTGTTATTTTGTTGTTGCTGTTTCATTATGATGAAATACATACAACATAAACTTAACCATTTTAATCATTTAATGTACAATTCAGTGCCATTAAGTAAACTAACACTGTTGTGCAACAGTAATCACCATTCGTCAGAAGCTTTTTATCATCTGAAACTGAATCTTTGTAGTTATTCAACAATATCTCCTCAATATTCCTTTCTGACAGATTCCTCTGGAAATCTCTATTCTATTATCTGTCCAATGATTTGACTATTTTAGATACCTCATATAAGTTGAATTATGTGCTATTTGTCCTTATGTTTCTGACTTATTTTACTTAGCATAATGTGTTTAAGATTTATTCCTGCAGTAGCATGTAGAAAAATTTCATTCCTTTCAAGACTGAATGATATTCCCTAGTATGTTTGCACCTTACTTTGGTTACCTATTCACTGGTTGATGAACACAACGTGTTTCCATCTTTTGGCTATTGTGAATAATGATGCTATGAACATTGATATACCAATACATATTTGAGCTTTTGCTTTCAATTATTTTGGAAATATACTGAAAAATGAAATTTTTGGATCATATGGCCATTCCACATTTTTTTTTTTGAGAAATCACAGTATCATTTTCCACAGCATATACATTTTCATCAGCAACACACAGGCATTCAAATTTTTCTACATCCTAACCAACATTTGTTATTTCTTTTTTGTTGGTTGATGGATTGAGATAACACATTATTATTGATGCTTTGAAATGTGTTAGAATTTGGCCTACCATATGATCTAATCCTGGAGACTGTTCCATGTGTACTTGAAAAAGTATATATTTTTTTCTCTTGTTGGGTGGAGTGTTCTGTATATGTCTGTTAGGTCCAATCACTTCATAGTATTGTTCAAGTCCTCTATTTCCTTATTGATTTTCTATCTTTTGTATCTTATTGTTCTATTCCCTATAGAAAGTACAGTATTGAAGATTCCAACTAGGATCTTTTTTTTCTTCAATTATGTCAAGCTTTGCTTCATAGATTTTACAGCTTTGACATTATGTACACGTGTGTTTTATAATGATAAATCTTCTTAGTGAATATTTCAACCATTCTCATTTAGTGCAGCAAGATCAATAAGATGATCTTTCAGTGCCTCTCTTCAATTTCGTGAGAGGAATAACCTAGTCAAAGTAAGGAGACACATGAAAATAGGGGGAAAAAAAGGAATATAAATTGAGAAGCAAGAAAAATGCTGTCTTTTACAGAAAATAAGAAGACTAATATAATTACTTGCCAAGGTTGTTCAATACCAGTAATATAAATTCCTTGAAGAGCAAGAGTGATTGGCATCCAAATTGCTGGTAGTGGTCAGCTCTTCCTTTATGATAGGAATAAAGAGACTAAGATGAGTGCAGATGTTATAGTATTTGAAATAAGAAGTTTTGCAACTTTCTTTTTGAATGCTTCTATTTTTCCTTATGAAGTTGCATGCTTTCAGTAAGCATGGAGATATAAAGAACTGAAAGTTGAAAAAGAGAACATTTGAAAAATTACTATAGAATGTGAAAAAAATGATCAAAAATGTAGGACAAGTTAAAGGTGACTTTTCTGAGTTTATAGCAGAAAATATCAACATTTTATGTGAACTTTTATATCAACGTAAGTCACTTGAATACAGTCAAAGATAAAGACTGGATGCTTAAAATCATACAGACTGAAACTTTTGCTGGCAGAAATTGAGAAAAAGAAAGAGAATGAATACACTTTTGCATAAAAATAAAAGTATTACTGTAATGATAGACAAGAAAAACTAAAAGAAGCTTGAGAAAAATGAAGAAAAAGAAGTAGGTTTTGAATGGGAAAAAGTGGAAATGTCAGTAAACCACAATGTATCTCGAGATCAAAGAGTAGTTATACTATGTTACATTGCAAAAGTTAGAAGAAGTAAACCTTTAATTAGTGATATTCTTATCAAACAGTTACATGGTCTAGAATGTAATTATGGGTGTGGGTCACTGAAGTCTATGACCATTAAACCTTAGCAATATTCTACTTAAACATAGGAAAAAGGCACAATAATACTCATTCTGATATATTGATTAGACATTGTATTAGATGTCCTAGCAAAGCATTACAATAAATATGTATATAATTTAAAAGTTACATACAGAACTCATTATTTGTATTTGTCTCCATATAAACTATGAACACTTTATTATTTTTTTTTTGAAATAATTATAGACTTCAGCCAAAGGGTTGAATATATGACTAATACACCAAAAAAAAGTTCATTTCGCTGAGACAGGGCTGTATTTTGTTCTGTTTGCTGCCCAGAAAATAGAGGCCTGTGTTTCCATTTCTACATCTTTCATGTGAACTAGTTGCTTTCTATCTGAAAGCCAAACTATATCCCTTATTTAGTATTGAAAGATCATTTATTTTATTTGCCATATTCAAAAAGTTTTAGAGTAAAGAAAATTAATAGAAGTAACTTATTCAGGTATCTTTATTTTAGGAGAGTAACTAAAATATACGGTGTGAAGAAAGTAATTAAAATAATTACATGTTACTATTTATTAAGGTACTTCTCAATCCCTTTAATTTCATTTCCATTAATTAATATGTCTTGTGATTTATGGTCTACCCATAAACGGCCTGATATTAATCAGGATTAGCTGTTAAACTAATGACTAATTCACATATATAATATAGACAGTTCTGTAAGTAGATAATGATGATTACCAGCTACACAAACATTTGTAAAATGAGTGAATTTCAAGGTAAAACTTTTGAAATGATAAGAATAATTTTTACAGAATGTTCTGTTAAATTATAATAAACTTATATTAAGATTACACTTTTCATTTCTCTCTGTATTATTAAAATCCAATTTACCATAAAAGAACCATCTGTTTCAAAAATAAAAATAATATAAGTAACAAACTCCTTGGTGTGTTCAATTTCTATCCAGCTGTAACACATTATGAAAGCATTTTTATAAAGAGTATGATGATTACATTATGAATTAGTCTACCTAAACCTTTAGGGCAGATTTATCTACATTTTACTGTTATTTAAAAGATGTTCAAACTAGGTATATTATTTGGAGAAGAACCCCTACATTAGCTAAAAATTCTAATTTTATATAATAATATTAAATAAGACACATTTACTGAAAATAAGAAGACATAAAATTTCTTGTCAAGATTTGGCTTGAAAAACTTGCTCAAAATTTAAGAAAATAAATTTCAGAGATGAAAATGAAAGCAAGCTTGATGTATTCCAGCAAGAATCAACATAACTATTTTTCCTAGGCCTTTCATTAATTCCAGGGGGCAGTTGAAGTTTTATTCACTACTATCTGTTGTTGTTCACCAAGAATTCATAGCATGTACTCTATTCTCTACAGTTAAAAAAAAAAGACATTTTGTCACTGTGGAGTCTCTTATTGAGAAAAATGTTATTAGCATTTTAACTTTTCTTTACAATTTTTATGATATCACAATAGCTTACTAATTTAATATTATTGTTGCAGATTGGGGTGTCCCTGTACAGATGGACTTAATTCATAACATGACAAGGAAAGGGGAGGGAAAAGAAGAGGTATAGCAAGAGGGAAAGGGATGAGATTCAGATTTCCTGAGACCACATTTTGTCTTCTAAATATGTGATACTGGGCAAAGTTTATGATCAGTATGTGTCATAGTAGACTTGCCTATAATAGACAATAATAATAGTGTCTGAAGATGTATTGAACTAATAATGTACATCAGTGCTTAGGAGATTGCCAGAAATATTTAACTACTAGATAAATGTCATCTTTTAATTAGTAGATGTAGTTGTGGTAGTAGATGTAGTATTAAGGGTCGTATTCGCCCCAGTAGAGGCACCTACCTGGGAAGACACATGCCAGGAAAGGCAAAGGTGACCAAACCAATGTTACCTCCTTTGTAGTTGTGCCTGGTGCTGGACCTGTGACTTTTCTCCCCATGGAGCATCCCTACAACAACAAAACAAACAAACAAACAAAAAGAGAGCAGTATTCTCCAACTTCTGTACCTACAAATAGGTTAACAAATAGGCTAGTTGGCTGTATCTATTCTGAGGACTCTAGTTTCTGCAAACAATATACAAAATCTGGGAAGGTGTTATTATTTTCCACTTTTGTTGCAGGTTTAAGCTAAGCTCTCCTAAGTAACTTCATTAAAGTAAAATTACTGGCAAATTGTTACCACTAATAAAGAAAAAAATGTAATTTCTTATTTGCTTCTGAATTCTATTCTCTACCACTAAGAAAGTAGATGATGAGAGGGTGAGAAGTATTAATTTCCTGTAATGGTATACCTCTTTTATGGCAAGCCTCCCATTATTTTTCTTTTATATTTCTTAAATAACTTCATAGTACCCACATTTTCTTTTTCAGAATAATGTGAACATTGGCTTGAACATACCCCTGCACCTAGAACCGTAACCAAAAATATATATAATATTATCAGCACTCTAGGTATTATCCTTATTTCCCCTTTCAGTCACTATATCCGGCACCCAAGATTGACCTCTCTCATGACTTCTAACATCTTAGACACATTTTGCCTATTTTGTAGGTTTCTGTCAATGGAGCTGCATATATGCACTTTTGCATAAGATTTCTTTTGGTTGCATGTAGTTATATGTCATTTCTTTTTATTACCAGATTGATATGATTTGGCTGTGTCCCCACCGAAATCTTAACTTGAATTGCAATCATTCCCTTGTGTCAAGTAGGGGGCTAGGCGGAGATAATTGAATCACGGGGGTGGTTTCCTCCATACTGTTCTTGTGGTAGTGAATAAGTCTCATGAGATCTGATAGTTTTACAAATGGGAGTTCCCTGGCACAAGCTCTGTTGCTTGCTGCCACGTAAGATGTGCCTTTGCTTCTCTTTTGCCTTCCACCATGATTGTGGGGTCTCCCCAGACATGTGGAACTCTTGAGTCAATTTAACCTGTTTCCTTTATAATTACCCAGTCTTGGGTATGTCTTCTTTATTAGCAGCATGAGAACAAACTAATACACAGATAGTATGCCATTTTGTGACAATAGCAAAATATTCTATTGATGGACATTTGGATTATTTCTAGGTATTGTTTCTCTAAACATTCTAATATATGTATTTGGTGAATGTATGTATGCATCATAATTAGATATTACATTTGGAGTAAAAATAGTGGGCAACATGTATAGCTAAGTAGATACTGACAGAAATTTATCAAGAGTGATTATATCAATATATACAAGTTATGGTTACTCTATATCCATGCTAATACTTGTTATCATTAGGCTTTTACATTTTTACCAGCAAAATGATTAAACCTATATCTAATTGTAGATTGAAATTGAATCTTCTCATTTGTAATGCATTAAACACCTCTCATATATTTGTTATTTAATAAACTCTAAAGTATTATTTGGAGAAAATAAAGATATTGTTCTTTTCTGATGGTTACTATTGTGAATATGACCATAATTTTCAAAAAAAGTTAACGTAGTTTTGCAAAGTGTTAAAGTGAAAATATTGGGCTGTCATGGTGGCTCATGCCTGTAATCCCAGCACTTTGGGAGGCAATGGCAGAAGGATCACTTGAGATCAGGAGTTTGAGACCAACCTGGGCAACATCGCGAAACTCCGTCTCTACTAAAACTACAAAAATCAACTGGGCATGGTGGTACACACCAGTAATCCCGGCTACTCAGGAGGCTGAGGCAGGAGAATTGCTTGCACCAGTGAGGTGGAGGTTGCAGTGAGCCGAGACTGCACAACCGCACTCCAGCCTGGGAGACAGAGCAAAACTATGTCTTAAATAAATAAAACAATAAAATAAAATAAAAATATTATTACCTATAATATGAAATAATAGATTAATTCTATTTGACAAATATTATAATCATTGTGTTACTGTAAATAAATGTTAGCATTCTAATGATAGGAACTTACTCAGACATTTGTTAACACCACACAAAAATATTCAGTCTCTTCTGCCATTGTTTATGTTTTTTCCTACCTACTTTTCACATCATCCCAAATCTATTATACCTATTAAAATCCTACAACTCCATTAATGCTAGTCCCAAAAGCAACAATAAAATGGAGTGTATTGCTATTTTTTCAACAGTTTTACTATTTCATTTTGTGTGTATGCAAAGAACATACTAAAATATCATTTTCCTCTACCACACTTAAAATTTTGAGATTTGGAACTAGTCATATTAATTTGCTTTATTTACTCTTGCATTGTCTGGTGCTGAATACTCCCTAATTAACTCTATTTACTTAAAGTATGTTTGGTAATTCAATTAAATAATAATGTGCTTTAGCAGTGTACAACATTATGTATTATTAGATTATTAAACAAGTGATGAGATATGTTCTCTTCCAAGAGGAACTAACAATTTTCTGCAGAGACGCACTTATACATAAGTAATTACAATAAGATGTAGGGACAATTAGGGTAGGAAAAATTATCAGAAGCTAGGGAGATTAAGTGGCAGAAGACTAAATATTATTCCATGGACGTGCCCTATTATTTCCGATGAGCTAAAGAACTTATGCTCCCACACCTGTGTCTATGGTAAGTCACTTGTCTTGATTCCACAGACTTTATCAAACCTTGGTACTTTGTCCTAAATAGATTACAACTGAGGCAAGATCATAATGCTTACATAATTTACGGATCCCAAAACTAACAAAGGTGGCCTTTCTAAAGGCTTTCAAAAGTTACTGATACCTAAGTTATCTAGCTAAACTAGAATAGGTTAAAAATCATTACTAAAAATAGATGAATATGTAGTGTGACAGGTCCCCTGTGAGATTACTAAAGTATGTATGTCCACTGCCTGAAGTCTGAAGGCCAGGCAGTGGGAAAAAGCCATGGTACCCAGCCAAAGAGCAAGTGTCCCCGAGAACCTAAACATCCAGAGCCTATCTGGGAGCATTCCAAGGGAGGAAACAGTCCCATCACACACACACACACACACACACACACACACACACACACACACACACACACACACACACACAACAGAAAGAGCCAGAAAATTAGCTTGAAAGCAGCTTAGGCATGGTAGGCAGCATGGATCTCCAAAGCTATCCTGCTGCTGTCCAGGAGAGCCTCATATGTAAGTCCTCAGTTTTAGTAAACTCCTCTACTCAGCAAGCTGGACTTGTCCAAGTCATTCTTTGGTCCCTCAGTTCCCTGTCAATATGGGGAAAGGTTTTGTTTGTTTGTTTGCTTGTTTTTAAATAGAATGCTGGGTTTTTCTCATTACTGTTGGTGTCACAAATAAGATCTGAGAGACTAAAAGAGAAAGGAGCATCTGTGGGAGGAATCTTGGGTGGTTGGCAGCATGCATGTGGGGTGGAGTTGCCTGGCTGCTTAACCTTTGTGGAATGCTAGGTAAGTATGGGAATACTTGGAAAATGTGGGCAGAGACTGGGCGCCTATTACAAGAAGATAAGATATTAAGGTACAAAAGAATAGTAAATGCGCTATTGTTACAATAAGGCTGGCTATGGAAAAATCATTAGAGCAGAAAAGAGAAAAAATAGAAACTCCTGCAGAAGTTGAAAGGCATGCTAGGTTTTCTACGACTCCAGCTAGTCACATATTATGGCCCTGGCGTGTGCAAGTTTATTTTTTAAAAATTTCTTCGTCTGTTCTGGTAGACAAAGATATCTTGTGCATGTTTTAAAACTGATGGGCAAATTACAACAACAAAATAAATTCAGAGCTCAAATGGTTAATCTGCAACTGTAGAGTTAAGTAGAGTGTTCTAAAGCTATCTGTTTCTCTTTCATTTTCTGCCTACTTTGAATCTGCTGTTATTAAGCTACCAGGGTTGAGATAAAACTCACTCATTCAAGGCAACTTGGAGGTTTTCTTTTTCTTACTTCAACCAGTTCTACTAAAATGTAACAACGAAACTCATTTGGAACTGAAGGAAAGAAAAGATAAAAGAGTTGTTTTGTTTGTTTGTTTGTTTACATATCAAAGTGCCATGGAATATACTTTATCCAAAATTTTGATCCATGTCTTTCCTTGGATTACCTGTCAGGGCAAATAAAGTTTAGCCATATATACAAGTCCCAATTTTGTAAAAAATAATTTGAAAACAGCCGTCTTTAGTAAAATAATGAGTTTGCGATATTGTCTCATGACTAGAGTTCTGAGGTAAAAGCTCTTGGATCTTTGAGGGTGTGTGTGTGTGTGTGTGTGTTTAGATGTGTTTAAGCATATGTACATGTATTATGTTATTTGTTGTTTCTAGAATGCTACCAACTTGGCTTGTAAATACATGAATACTCAAGTAAGTCCAAATGATTTTCAAGTTCATGTGAATTCACTAATCTTTGGTAAATAAACTGGCTTTAAAATTATTAGTAAAATAAACATAAAACTATCTTCAAAAGCGTTAACATATATTTTGGTGTTTACTGATTATATAATTTTTATGTTTTTCTCTACTAAATATTTTATGATGTTAAGCTTTGACATAAAGTTTATAGGACTATAAACCCAGCCAAAAACAGAGTAACATTTGTTTTTTGTGTTTTTCATAATTAAAACTAATTTGATGTTGTTGATTTAATAAAACAGCTAAATTTTCTGAGTTATCAGCCAAAATGGTCATGTGTTTAAGGTTCTTGCTTAAATGAATACCTAATATTTACAGATTATGAAAATGATTAACAAAAAGTAACCTGAAATAATGACTAGCTTTGTCTAATGTTTTGGTTGTCATGAATAAACTAGGTAAACAGCTAAAAAATAAATAAAATTATTAAATTTAAATGAGATAAATTCTTGTGGGTAGACTTTTTGTGTCTTAAAATCTTAAAATTATTACAGGTACCCATTGAATTTCTGGGTCATTTCTAATTTAAGGAGGGTTTTGATATGGTGCCTTAATCACATTTCTGAGCCTGTTATTAAAAAATAAAATCTGTGTGTGTGTGTGTGTGTGTGTGTGTGTGTGTGTGTGTGTGTGAAACATTGGCAGACCTCAGCGAGCTGGATAAAAGGAAGGACTGAGGCCATAATGTAATCAAAGAACAAAAAAAGGGATGGGCCAATGGGTGCCTGTACACTTGCTGTGGCCCAGGCAGGTAATGAATGCGAACAATACTGCTTGCCAGGGGCACATTCTAAAATCACCCACACAATCTAGGGGCCACACTGCTATAACACCCTTTTGTATTAAAAGTCTCTAGAGATGCCATAGGCATCAGTTGTTGTTTGTGGCAAAAATAACCAATAGGAATGGTACCTATATGGTTTTGGCCTCAATTATGGAAGGGGTAGAATCTCATTGTACAGTCTTAGAGCAACAGCTGTTGGCCATGTATAAGCCATTGCAATGAGCAGAGGCCATCATATGAGGCAGATCATCACAGTAAAGATTGCTTGTACTATAAAAGGATGAATAAAAGACCTCCTAGCCAAGCCCACTTCTGGTGTGGCACAAAACACACCTTGCAGAAATGGCGCACCTGTCTACTAAAAAGAGATGTCTTGTCCACCAGTCTTTTAAGTCAGGCACTACAGGAAGTGCTCTGACCCATCCACTCTGAACAAGTAGAAGGGACAGACATGGAAGTGGAGCCACCTCTCAGGCAAACCATCATATATGATGGGATCCCACCAATACCCACTAGTGCCTGGTACACTGATGGGTCTAGCAAAGGCACTCAACACTAATGGTGAGTTGTCATGGTGCAAGCTATGGGCAGTTTGGATACTCCTCACCCATGAGCCCTGGTCACTAGTCACTTGCACAATTGGGCTACATACAAAAGCCTTACCATGTGGATCAATCAATGGCCCACAGACATTTGGCAGGTTTTCATCAGGCCCCTTTGTGGAACGTCCATGTGGCAGGACATCCACATCAAGTTACACAAGAAGGATGCCTATCTTACAGTGTACCATATGGATGCACACAGCTCCAAGTCACCTTGAGTAAATCAGGAGGTAGATGCCCTTACTCATGTGCTGGCAATTTGCCCAAGCCTATTGGAGGAGCCCACCATATGGTTACATCATAAGAGCGACCACTAAGGGGCAGCCATGGGATGGGCCATAGCAAAGGCAGCAGGCATCCTTATCAAATATGCAGATATTCTGGCAACTTTTCTGAACTGGGAAGACTCGTTCATGGCTATGACCTAGAAAATTTCCCTCCTCACCAGGTTACATATGTTGAACTGTACAATCTATGCAGGACTGGCAAGTCGATTATGTCGGCCCCCTGCCCCACAGAGGAGGGACAAGCTATGCCTTAACCTGTGTAGCCACAACAACGGGGCTACTTACAGACCTTCCCGGTAAAACATGCCATTCACTCACTGTCATGCACTCTATGCCAAGAAGGATAGGTAGTGATCAGGGCCCCCATTACATGGGCCATGATGTCTAACACTGGGCAATGGAATAAGACATAGACTGGAGGTTCCACTTACCATGTAGCTCAAGAGGGACAGGCCTCATAGAAAAAAAGAATGCTCTGTTAAAAACCTAATTATGTGGATTGTCTCAAGACAGTTCTTTAGGGTCCTGGTCTAAGAAACTTGCTGAAGCTATACACATTTTAAATGAGTCATTCACTACCACACATGGTTTCACTCCCTGTGAATGATTGAAAAGGTCTGTAAAACAGGCCCTACAGAGTCTCAGGGTTACCTCTTGAGACTCAGTGCCATGCTCCTGAATCAGGTGGCCACACCATGCTCCTGAGAATACCAGTGGATCTGCCATGTGCCAATGGCTAAATGAACCTGAGTTGAGCTAGAAAGTGCTCCTGTACTGGATCAGTTTCATGGCACCAGAAGGTACCACGAAGGCTGCTGGAGGGGAGTTGATCCCAGCTGTGCTACTTGAAGGAGGTCTGAGAACCTGACGGTATCAACACTTGGTAGCACTGACACCTACAGAAGTGATCATAGTGTGGATAGCACAGGCCAGGCCAGAAACTTACCAATTGGCTATTATACTTGCTCCTAGGGAAAGAAGCCCTCCGTGGTACTGTAAGCCGGGTTTGAGGCTTGGTGGCCTTCCTAACAGGGCCAATGGAAGAAAATAAAGAAGTAATAATATTACAGTGAATACCCATGAGGGCTCCCACTAAACACCTGTATTTACACCCATAGGCTGTTGTTCCTGCCACCAGTCTAGAATGTCTTCCTATACTAGGCTGCAATTATAGCAGCAGTCAGCACCCAGTCTGTTTGGTATGTGGATACTTCCTCTTGTCAAGTTTTAGTGTTATGCCTTGGAATATTCTACCTTCCTCCTGACGGAATTGCAGTAACTTGTTCAACAGTACCAATAAGGCAACCCTGGTTCACTGGGGATTGCATCCACCTGGTGGGCGTATCAATAGCAGAACAGAGACCCAAAATATGTTTGCTCTTGACTGACAACAAATGAATGACACCACACCATTCACATGTCCATAGAAGATGGCATCTTCTGGGCAGTTGCTGAAAATGCAGTGCTCTACAAAAGAGCCTCTGTATATTTTGAGACGTAACCACACCTCCACTGCCACCGATTCCTAACTGATGTGGTTGCTACCCCCATTAGCCTGTAATTGTACTTATCCGGTGTTGGCAACAGACTGGACTGGTTGACAAAATAGCTGTAAGAAGGCAAGTGTGTTTTCTTCACCTTTGGGGGCAGGATGGTTATAAGTGGGGCTCATTTATGGCCATATGTACTTCATAACTTGGCTTGGGTGATATGCAGTGGGGTAGTCATTTCTACCAGGAGTTATATACAAAACCACCCACCAGCCCATCCAACATACAAACCATGAGAGCCAGGTTTCTCTGATCCTTGGCACAGCAGAAATGGCCAATGAGTATTCTCACATTATCTGCAGGTACCATTGATGATTTGACTCAAGTCACTGTCC
This sequence comes from Homo sapiens, assembly GCF_000001405.40. Lineage (NCBI taxonomy): Eukaryota > Metazoa > Chordata > Mammalia > Primates > Hominidae > Homo > Homo sapiens. The sequence continues at coordinate 25,798,823 of NC_000005.10, forward strand.
TGGCACTATTAACTGCCAAGGAATTTGATCATACTAAGAATAGCATTAGCTTGCTAGGTCAGGAGACTGCTCAAATGAGAAAGGTAGTATTACAAAGCTATGTGACTTTGAACTTTCTCACGGAAGCCCAGGGTAGCTTATGATGCTATCTGTTTTGCCTATGAAGAGAATAATGTGACAGATGCTTTAAATCATTTGTCAACTCAAATGTACTGTATAACTCAATTGGGTTTCTTTGACTCATTCCCAGATTGGTTACACAACTTACCTACCCCTTGGAGTTATGTTTTGCTAATAGACATTATAATTGTACTTAGCTTCTGTTTTTCATGCCGTTGTGTGTACTGTGGATGTGGCTCGCACACACAAACCATGGCTATATGTTATAGACCTCCATAGTTATTTCCCTTATACCCTGCTCAGAGACCCTTACGCAAGAGTTTGTGAGAAGAATATAAGAGCTGAGGGACAGGGTGAATATTAGCGTGACCGATCCCCCACCAGGTTACTAAGGGGTGTATGTCTGCTGTCTAAACTCTGAAGGCCCGGCAGTAAGCCAAGGCCACAGTGCCCAGCCAAGGAGCAGGTATCCATGAGAACCCAAACATCCCAGAGACTACCTAGGAACATATTAAGAAAAACAGTCCTATTACACACATACAGTAGGCAAAGAGACAGAAAATTAGCTTAAAATCAGCTTAGAGATGGGAGGCGGCACATTAATCTCTAAAGCTTCCCTGTTGCCTCGTATGTTAAGTCCTAATAAACTCATCTGCTTGCCAAGCTGGATTTGTCCAAGTCATTATTTGGTTTCTCAGCAACTTTCCAATTTGGGGAAAGTTTTTTTAGTGCAATTCTAGGTTTTCTTGTTACAGAATACACAGTTAATTTAATACAATATGTTCCTATTACAAGTATTAGATTCCTGATAAATGCTCACTGAATAAAAGTTGAAATATTAAAATGTACCAACATATTTTATTTAAATAATTATTTAAAAATAAGTGTTTTCTTCTTGATTATCTTGGAAAGGCTTATATGCTTTATCAATTTTTAATGTAACCAAATCTAAATGCAGTTTCCAACGAAATAGTGATTATTTCTAACCTAAACAAGTATTACTCTGATAACTGATTAAATATCAGAGTAATGAATCCAGTAACCAAACTAATGTAAAGATAATGGTCTCAACAATGTGTTACCTATTTTTAATTTCTAGCAAGTTCATAGAAAAAAATACAAAGGAAAAAGAACTTCAACTTCCACCCTCTTCTTTTGAAAACTTTGACAAATTTTCACACTATATATTTTTGAGAGAGCTTCAAGATAAAAATTGTGAAAATGACCTTTACTTTATGCTTTTATTTTCTTGATGTGCTAGCTTGGATTATCATTTTATGCACTATTTATAGTCTTTTTATAGGAAAGCTGACCTTTACTTGAATTTAGGGATGGACAGAATGCAAATGTGCAAGCATACTTCTTATGAGCTGGAAAAAAAAAATCAAACGAATGATAAACAGATGAGAGTGTCTGTGAAAGATTCATATGAAGTGTATCTTTCAGGCTAGGGTTTACAGAAACCAATTACAATTTTGTAGCTCTCTAGATTGCTTTATCAGTACTTAAAAATGAAAGAAGATAAAGCAAGTACCTACATGAAATACCCTTCATCAAATAATCCTGCAAACTGTATTACACATATAGGAGCTCAATGTAGTAGTTAGGTTTTGTTTAAAATTATTCCATGTAGGTATATATTTAAAATGTGCAAAGCTCTAACTTCCCCTGTTTTAAAAATCTGTCACCATGCTTCCTTTTTAATAGTGATCTCTAAGTTGGCTTTTGAACCAGTAACTTAAATGTTAGAAAACTATAATTCTGGATTGAGATAAAATGATAAAAGACACTGACAAAATAAAGTGAATATGCTATATATTAAAACTGTCTCTAAAAGTAAACATTATCCTGAGAAATGTTTAAATTAGCAGCGATCTTAGACTGGCCCCAAATTAAATTAGAATAGTAGAAATTATATTGGTCTGAAACTGTATTTTTCCATTGAAAAGTAAAATATTTAATTTATTGATTATAAAGTTTGAAGGAGTATACTGAGCTGATTAAGGGATGCTTCAAAGACATACGTAGAATTCCTACCTAAAAAAATACTCACTGGTTATGCAAGCATAAAAATAGATTAAACAAATATATTCAATTTTTCAATACAGCAAAAATAATACCCTTTCTGGTTCTCTTTGTATAATACACAACATTGCACAGCTAGTTGGATGTGGCCATGTGAATAAATTTACCCCAGTAGGATGTGTGGAGCATAATGTATGCCTGTTCTAGGCTGTGGACTAGGAAATCAACAACCAGTTACCTGGAAAGTGTTGTGATGAAACTGGCTGAGAATCCAGAATATTGGATATTTGAATGACTGCAGAGGGTACAGCTTCTGTGGACTTACTGACTTGGATTTGCTATGGGACAGAAAAATGATTATTTATTTTGTTTAACAATTACACTTTTTGGTCTATTACAGCTGTCCAGACTACCTTACCTAATACAACCAAAGAGAAGAAAAAAATATCTTTTAAGCACTCAGTTTCTAGAGTCTCTCTACAATAAAATTTCTACTTCAATGATTGGCTTGCCTGCAAAAGAATTGGAGATTTACATTAATAAAGACAAAGATGACATCACATTACCAAACAAGAGCTGCGAGAATTTGATGAAATCAAATGCCTTGAAAATGGCCAATTATGTTTGATGATCGCAACCAAGAAGTAAATGTCAATAGATGTCACCATCAAATCATGCTTTCCATTTTGAAATCGGTAATATTTATTTTTTATTTCTTAATTTTGTCTTCTCTTTGATAAAGTGTAATAAATGGATAACTACAGTGGACAACATGTGAGTCATCTCTTTTTCACCCTTTTTCTAATCTCATTTTACTTTACAGAATCGAAGGCTATCAATTTGGTTGGCATCTCCGGTAAACTTGACTGATAGTTAAAAATAGCCATAGTAATAATAACCTATGAGCACAATGGCTGCATACAATTCAAATAACTAATTCACATATACTACACTTACTTTTGAAGACTTTTGATTTGAACATTTAATGCTTTTTATTAATGAAAACCCGTCTACATTTATTAGTGTATATGAAACTGTTTATTTTAATTTTTTGTTCCATATCCTAGTCTATTTGGCTATTCAGTACTTTTATTGCATGCATATATATATATATGCACATATATGTGTACATATACACACACAGTGTATATATATATAAATAGCATATAATTACATATACATTGATATATAATGTGTGTGCATATATAAATATGTATACAATTAATTTCATGATCCACATTTTATTATTTTATTAATATGTTCAGTATAGGCATCTCTCTTGAAAAATTGTTTTCATTCCATGTTCTGGTTCTGTTTGCCTCAGTTTCTGAAGTATTTCTCCTTTTTATTATTTGATGAATTTTTATGTTTCTCTGCAATGATATCAACTTTATTTAATCATGTTTTATTATCATTTCCTGATGGTCAAATGTGTATCATTATCTACCATGAGTGACTAAGGAAGAAGTGCAGGGACATGGTGATAACTTTTTTCCAGAGTCCTAACTTTGACATTTATTTAAAATGAATAACTCTTTATAATTCTCAATGTATTTTATTCTACATCTATTGACTTTGTGCTTCAAGTTTTAAAAAATATACAAACATTTAAAATAAACTTATCCTGCCTACGGTTGTAATTTCCAGGTGTTATTATAATTTTATTATGAAATTTATCTCTTTTTTTTCTGTCCAACTTTTATTTTAGGTTCAAGGGAACAGGTGCAGGTTTGTTACGTGGGTAAATTGCATGTTGTGGAGGTTTGGTGTACCCATTACTTTGTCTCTCAGGTAGTGAGTGTATTACCCAAAAGGTAGTTTTTTGCTCCTCATCTTCCCCCTACACTCTACCCTCAAGTAGGCCAAAATGTCTATTGTTCCCTTCTTTGTGTTCATGTGTAAAGTTTAGCTCCCACTAATAAGTGAGAATATATGGTATTTGGGTTTCCGTTCTTGCTGTCCTAAGCAAATTTACAAATACGCTTAGGATAATGGCCTCCAGTGCTATCCATGTTGCTGCAAAGAACATGATTCCTTATTTTTATGGCTGCATAGCATTTCATGGTGTATATGTACTACATTATCTTTATCCAATTCACCATCGATGGACATCTAGTTTAATTCCATGTCTTTGCTATTGTGAATACTGCCGCAATGAACATATGCACGCATGTGTCTTTATGGTAGAATGACATATTCCTTAGGGTATGTAATAGTTCATTTTCATGATGCTGATAAAGACATTCCTGAGACTGGGTCATTTATAAAGAAAAAGAGGTTTAATGGGCTCACAGTTCCACGTGGCTGGGGAAGCCTTACAATCATGGTGGAAGGAGGAAGCCACATCTTACATGGTGGCAGACAAGAGAGAATGAGAGCCAAGCAAAAGGGGTTTCCCCTTATAAAACTATCAGGTCTCATGAGACTTATTCACTACCACAAGGACAGTATGTGGGAAACCGCCCCCCTGATTCATTTATCTTCCACCACCAAGTCCCTCCCACAACACGTGGGAATTATAGGAACTACAGAGCAACAATTCAAGATGAGATTTGGATGGGGACACAGACAAACCATATTGTTATGCCCTGACCCCTTCTCACATCTCATGTCCTCACATTTCAAAATCAATCATGCCTTCCCAACAGTACCCCACAGTCTTAACTCATTTCAGCTTTAACTCAAAAATCCACAACACAAAGTCTCATCTCAGACAAGGCAAGTCCCTTCCACCCATGAGCCTGTAAAATCAAAAGCAAGTTAGTTACTTCCTAGATACAAAGCAGGGTGTGGGAATTGGATAAATACCCCATTTCAAATGGAAGAAATGGGCCAAAACAAAGGGGCTAAAGGCCCTACGCAAGTCTGAAATCCAATGGGGCAGTCAAATCTTAATACTCCAAAATGATCTCCTTTGACTCCATGTCTCACATTCAGGTCACACTGATGCAAGAGGTGGGTTCCCATGGTCTTGGGCAGCTCCACCCGTGTGGCTTTGCAGGATACTATCTTCCCTTCTGGCTGCTTTCATCAGACGGCATTGAGTGTCTGTGGCTTTCCCAGATGCACGGTGCAAGCTGTCAGCAGATCTACCACTCTGGGGTCTGGAGGACAGTGGCCCTCTTCTCACAGCTCCACTAGGCAGTGAATAAAAATAGTTCTACTTCTTCTCTTCCAATTTGGATGCCTTTTATTTCTTTCTTTTGCCTGATTACTCTGGCCAGGACTTCTAGTACTACATTGAAGAGGAGTAATGAGAGTAGATATTCTTGTCTTCTTCCACTACTCAAGGGGAATGATTCCAGCTATTGCCTATTCAGTATGATGTTGGCTGTGAGGTTGTCATATGCGACTCTTATTATTTTGAGATACATCCATTTAATGCTTAGTTTGTTGAGGTTTTTAACGTTAAAGAATGTTGAATTTTATTGAAAGCCTTCTCTGAGTGTATTGAGATGATCAGCCTTCTCTGCATCTGTTGAGACAATGTGTGTGCATGTGTGTGTGTATTTTAGTTCTATTCATGTGATGAATCACATTTGTTGATTCGTGTATGTTAAACCAAACTTGCATCACAGGAATAAAGCCTATTTGAGTGTAGTGGAATAGAGTTTTGGTGTTCTGCTGAATTCAGTTTACTAGTATTCTGTTAAGAATTTTTGCATCTTTGTACATCAGGGATATTGGTCTAAAGTTTTCTATTTTTATTGTGACTCCTCTAGTGTTTTGATATCAGGATGATGCTTGCCTCATAGAAAGAGTTTAGGAGGATTCTTTCTTTTCAATGTTTTGGAATAGTTTCAGTAGTATTGGTAACAGCTATTCATATATGTCTGGTAGAATTTGACTGTGAATTTGTATGGCAGGGTATGTTCTGGTTGGTAGGCTTTTTATCACTGATTCAATTTCAGAACCCATTATTGGTCTGTTCAGGGTTTCAATTTCTTACTGGTTCAATTTTGAAAGGTTGTTTGCAATAATTTATCAATTTATTCTAGGTTTCCTAGTTTGTGTGCATAGGTGTGTTTATAATAGTCTCTGAGGGTATTTTTTCATTTATTTCTGTATTTCTATGGGGTGTGTAGTAATGTCCCTTTTGCCACTTCTTATAGTGTTTATTTGCATCGCCTCTCCTTTTTCTTTATTAGTCTAGCTAGAAATGCATTAATCTTATTTATTCTTATGAAGAAAAAACTTTTGCTTTTGATTATCTTTTGTACCAGTTTTCACATCTCAATTTTATTCACTTTAGCTCTGATTTTTTTTTTCTGTCTTTGGAGTTGGTTTGCTTGTGTGTGTTTTTGTTTTTAGTTCCTCTCAGTGTGATGTAGGTTCTTAATTTGATATTTTTCTAACTTTTTGATGTGGGTGTTTTGTGCTATAAATTTTCCTCTTGCCACTGCTTTAGCTGTGACCCAGAGATTGTGGTGTGCTGTACCTTCGTTTTTATTTGTTTCAAAGAATTTCTTGATTTCTGCCTTATTTTCTTAATATACCAAAATGTAATTCAAGAGAAAATTGTTTAATTTCCATGTAATTACATAGTTTTGAGAGATCTTATTGTATTGATTTTTATTTTGATTGTACTGATGTCTGATATTGTAGTTGGTTAGATTTCAGTATTTCTGAATTTGTTAAGAATTGCTTTATGGCCCAACATGAGGTAAATTTTAGGGTGCATGCCATATGAAGACGAAAAGAATGCATATTCTGTTGTTGGCTGGAGTGTTCTGTTGATGTCTGCTATGTCCATTTGATCAAGTGTTGACTTAAGGTCTCAAATATTTTTGTTAGTTTTCTGCCTTGATGATCTGTCTAATACTGTCAGTGGGGTATTGAAATCTCCACACTAGTATTGTGTGGTTATATAACTCTCTTTGTAGGTCTCCAAGAACTTGTTTTATGAATGTGGGTGCTCCAGTTTTTGATGCATATATATTTAGGATAGTTAAGTCTTCTCATTGAGTTGAACCCTTTATCATTATATAATACTCTTCTTTGTCGTTTCTGATTTTTCTCAGCTTAAAGTCTGTTTTGTGTGAAAAAAAGATAGCAATCCCTGCTTTTTTTATTATCCATTTGCTTGGTAGATACTTCTCTATCTCTTTATTTTTGGAGTATGGGTGTCATTGCATGGGAAATGGGTCTCTTGAAGACGGAATACAGTTGAGTTTTGCTTCTTTATCCAATTTGCCAGTCTATGCATTTTAAGTGGGGCATTTAGCACATTAATGTTCAAGGTTAATAGCAATATGCATATATTTGATCCTGTCATTGTGTTGTTAGCTGATGGTTATATATATTTGATTGTGTAGTTGCTTTATACTGTCAATAGTCTATATACTTGTTTGTTTTTATGATGGCTGGTAATGTTTTTCTTTGTTTGCTTGTTTGTTTCCATGTTTAACACTCCTTTAAGACCCTCTTAAAAGACAGATATGGTGATAACAAATTATTTTAGCATTTGTTTGTCTGAATGGATTTTATTTCTCATTTGCTTATGAAGCTTAGTTTGCCTAGATATAAAATTCCTGGTTGGAATTTCTTTTCTTTAAGGATATTGAAATAGGCCTCCAATCTTATATTTTGGAAAGTTTTTGTTAAAAGGTCGACTGTTGGCCTGATAGGATTCCTTTCACAGGTGACTTGCCCCTTCTCTACAGCTGTCTTTAACATGTTTTCTTTCACATTGATCTTGGATAACCTGAAAACTATGTGTCTTGAGAATTATCCTCTTTATAGTATGTCACAGGTCGTTCCCTGAATGTTTTCAATTTGCTTTTTGACCTCTCTAGCAAGGTTGGGGAAATTTTTGTGTGCAATAACCTCTAATATGTTTTCCAAGGTGCTTTCTCTCTCTCTCTTTTTCTGGGATGCCAATAATTCATAGGTTTTGTCGCTTTACATAATTCCATATTTCTCAGATGGTTTGTTCATTCCATTTTAGTCTTTTTTATTTATTTTTCTCTGACTGCATTGCTTTAAAAACTGGTCTTTGAGCTCTGAGATTCTTTCCTCAGCTTGTTCTATTCTGCTATTAATACTTCCTATTGTATTATAAAATTCTTGTTGTGAGTTTCTCTGCTCTAGAAGATCAGTTTGGTTCTTCCTTAATATGGCTACTTTGTTTTTCAGCTTTTGAATTATTTTATTGAATTCCTTAGATTCCTTGGATTGGGTTTCAACTTTCTCCTGAATCTAAGTAATCTTCATTGCCCTTCAGATTCTGAATTTTATTTCTGTCATTTTAGCCATTTCAATTTGGTTAAGAAACATTGCTGGGGAACTACTGCAACCATCTGGAAGCAAGGAGAAACTCTGTCTTTGTTTCCAGAGTTCTCACATTGTTTTTTTTCTTATGCATGTGCGTTGATGATCCTTTAATCTTTGACATTACTGTCCTTTGGATGGGAATTTTTGCTTTTATATCCTTTGATATCCTTGAAGGTTTGACTATGGTAAAAATTGGGTTCAATTGAATGGCTTTACGTCCGGATTATTTCAAGTGACAAAGGCCCAGCTCAGCATACTTGGACTCCTTGGTCTAACACTCGGGAAGTGGGACCAGGCTCACAGCTTTGCTCTCTGGCCCCCTGATGTTAAGCCCTGCTGCACTGGATGGGGTGAGGTGTTCTCAGTCTGTTGGCTACAACATTTCAATGAGGGTTGCTGGCAAAAGTGTTTCATTGGGGAAGTGTGGCAGAAGAGTCTGCATGCATGCATGAGTGCTGGTGGTAGCAGGGCAGTGAGATTTTGTGTGTATGCATGCTGGCAAAGTGGCAATGGGAAAGTGTGGCAGATAAGTACTCACTGGAGCCCATTTGCGGAAGCTCTTCAATGGTCAGGTGGGGTCTGCAGGCAAGGAGGCTATGATGGCGGCCACTAGGAAGAAACTTGTTTGGGCATCTGAGGGTGTGTTGCAAGCAGTGTTGCCAGACAGAGACCCTTGGAGAGGAGTGAGGCCATTCTATGCCTCTTTAACTTACTATTTTCCCAGGAGCTGCTTGGAGCAAGGAATTATTCTTGGTGCTCAGCAACCCTGTGCTGGGTCCTCAGCTTTCCCCCAATTCAACTCAGGGTCTGCATTCTTCTTTTGTCCACTCTCAATGCCTTTATTCCAAATAGCCACATTGAGTTTGCTGGTCTTTGTAATGGTCTTGTCTCTCAGTCTTCCTGGCTACATATAGTCAGCAATGTTGGCTCTTCCAAATTCATCTTGTAATTTACATTGTAAATGTGAGCATTTCCTCTATATATTTATTTCAAAGATAAATTAATATTTTTGTACTTTTTTTCTTTTCTATGATTTTGTGGAGTTTCGTCTAGGTTTTATGCACATATAGGTTCTCAGGGTGAGATCTCTTCATTGCATTTCTTCCAGAAAATGTAATGTATATGAAAGTACCTTTCAGTATGCAACCGTCTATAAATCCTGGAGTTTCTCTCTGCTACCAAATCCTGGAATCAATCCATTGTACACACATTTAAAATAAAACAAAATTCATAGTTTGTGAAAAATTATTTGACTTTCTAGAGACTGTTATAACTTCAAATCCTGGATTTTTATTTTCTCCAAAATGTTAGAGGGAGAAAACCTCATTCTCATAAAGTATGTGAGAAATGATGATGGCTTGAATAAAGTGATAAATATATTGGAAGTTATGTGGCATTCCTGTTTCTGGATAGGTTTTGTAAATAAATTTGACAGATTTTGTTGACTTCTATTGATATCTGAAAAAGACTAATAATCTTAAGCACTATTGATTGAGCAATGAGAAGGTTTAGTTACTATTTACAAAAAAATTATTGGACAAGCAGATACAGAAAAAAAATAACAAGTAGATGGTTGTTGGGAGAATCTCATTATAGTCTATTCTCTAAATAGTAACCAGAACTATCTTACTATCCTTTTGAAATGGCATTCAACAGTATTGCTCTTCTGCTTAAAACCTCATGATTCTTCATATAACAAAGAGTAAAATTAAGGACTATTTTAATAATGTATCAGGTACTACATGATCTTGTTCCATGTTATTTCTTGCCTCGTTTGCTGTTTCTCTCCCTGTAGATCAGTATGCCTCTGCATCTGCTTCAATTACATGTTTTACCTTTGCTTTTGCACTGCCCTTCTGTTTGGAATGCTCTTCCCCAGATTGTTATATTACTAATTCCCTCACTCATTTCATGTATTTTCTAACTATGTTCTTATTGGTGAGGGCTTCCTGGACCATCTTTACAACAATTCAATCCCCCATTTCCTAAACTTTTCCTTCCTTCTACTTTTTTTTTCCATTGCATATTTGCTATCAAACATCTCCCACTACTCAGGAAGTATGTTTTATAAACACAAAGATTTTGTTTAATTAATTATATATCCCAGCTTCTAGAACCATACTAAAGTGAACAGAAGCTCACAATTTTGTTGAAAATCTGAAAAAGATACGAGAAATATCAAGCATATAGTTGCACATATGAGTCTGGAGATAGAGTGAAAACTCTAGGTTTCAGATTGGGAGTCATGAGCATATAGAGCTCTGAAACTAATAGTTTTTTTTTTTTTTCCCTTTGACTATGCTTCTACCCAGGAAGTGAACAAAGGTGTCTGGGAAGTTTATTAATTATGCCATACTAAGAAATGTTTTTGCAAAGAAGTTTGTCGTATTTTCTTACCACAGCAGGAACATTTCCGTGTTTGATGTCTTATGAAGGTTGCTTCTGCTTACGCAAACTTAAAACTTAAAATGTGTGTTTGCAGTGTCTTAGTGACACAGGAAAATTAAAGCTGATTTTGTAACCTATTACTTAATTAGATTATCATGTGAATTCATCTAAGAAAATCTGGGAAAATTTAATGACACAAGGGAGCAGAAGCAGGCATAGTCAGTTGTAAGTGTTCTAACACCATCCTCCACCGGGGCCAGTATTTTAAGCATAGTCATAGAAGATTAAGTTTGAGAGTCTGTAAGACCTCTAGCCACATTCTTCTGCTTTATTTTGCTAGAATTTTGCTTTTGGGGGTATAAAATATTTGTAAGCCATCTAAGCTTTTGTTTCCAGTAACATGTCTACATTGTTTTTACCAAGAATGAATAAACCAAAAAGCATATATTTTTTAGCACTGGATTTAGTGATATAACGTAGTTACAACTTGATTTAGTACTATTCTTTTCTGCATACATGATTATATATTTTAGTTTGTGAGGCTACTGGCCTAAAACTTTTGAAATCACTCAAGGTGGAGATTTTATCTCTGTAGCACAGAATGTTATTTAATTACAGTGTAATCTGATAGGGATGAAAAGATTAAAATAAAATGAGAAAAGACAAAATAAAATATAGTTAAACCTGATTTTTTCTTCATTGAGAGTATTTTATAAATGATTACTTTTATAAATCTGCATAATAAACAACATTTATATTGCATATGTCTTCCATACATAAATTCAAAACCTTGGATTCATCCAAAGCCATGTGGCATATTTGAGAAGTAGCTTGAGCTTTTAAGCATTTTTTTTTTAATTAAAAGAGGTTTGGAAAATGTAACTTGCAATTATATAAAAAATTGTTGTCTTGGCACCGTGGCTCACTCCTGTAATCCCAGCACTTTGGGAGGCCGAGGCGGGTGGATCACGAGGTCAGGAGATTGAGACCATCCTGGCTAACATGACGAAACCCCGTCTCTACTAAAAATACAAAAAAAAAAATTAGCCGGGCGTTGTGGCGGGCGTCTGTAGTCCTAGCTACTCGGGAGGCTGAGGCAGGAGAATGGCGTGAACCCAGGAGGTGGAGGTTGCAGTGAGCCGAGATGGCGCCACTGCACTCCAGCCTGGGCGACTGAGCAAGACTCTGTCTCAAAACAAAAACAAAACAAACAAACAAAAAAAGTCCCAATTTCAGTAAACAGTTGTTATTTAATCACATGAATTTATCTGTGAGTTCAGTTGACAATTCAATGAAAACTGTCCTCTTTAGGAAAAAAAAGTATTTTTTAGTTTGTTTTTATGCTTAGTTCTACTTAAACTGTTTTTTAAATTACCTGCACTATATCATTTTTCTCTTTAACTCTTCAACTATTTTCCAGAAAGTTACTTATTAAAAAAATCTATTAGTCTCTTTAAAATCCTTTAAACCTGAAGACAATTAAGAAATTGTTGACATTGATCCCTCACTTCCTGAATGTAGCTCATTCAAATTGGGTTAATCAGACAAGCCTTGCCCAGAAACTTCCTTAAGCATGTTGAGTCAATAAAGCACTGAGGTTAATAACCAGATCTAAGTATGGCATATCTATGGATGGCTACTGCTATTACCTCTGTATTCCCATGCAGTTTTTAAGGCTAGATAAATTAAAGCTTTAAGAGCAATATATTTGTGTTACACAAGTGCATTTTTCTTAATTATATATATATATAATTTTAACGAAAGGAAGGAACTGAAATTAGTATAAATGAAGTAATAGAATTATATTACTAGGAAAGAAAAGGAAATACAATAGGCTCTCTGTATCTGCAGATGCAACCAACTGGAGATAAAAAATATTTGGGAAAAAACAAGAGAAAGAAAAATACAGTAATAGAAAACAATACAAATTTTAAAGTAATACAGTGTAACTATTTACATATTATTTACATTTACATAGGTACTATAAACAATATAGAGATGGTTTACAGCATGCAGGGGGATTGCATAGTTAACATGCAAATACTATGCCATTTATATAAGACTTGAGCATCTGTGAATTTTGGTGTCCACAAGGGTTCTGATCCAAACCCCAGTGGACACCAGATGATTCTATGTGCTTTCTGGGGTGACAGTACAGTAGAACCTAGAGCTGAATAAAAAAAATTATTTTAAATTGTCATTAAGTGCCAACAATTTTCCTTAAGTGGAACTGAAAAGTAGACTAAAATTGTGTTTTACTCTACTGAACTACACTTATTGTCATTAAGTTAAACAATGTTAAAGCAAATCTTGGTGTAAACTTTCAACCTTATCTTTTCAAACATTCCTCTTTTATTTCTCCAATAAATATAATGTTATTTAATTTAGAGAGGTTTCCAGTAATATCTTCTTTTTGCAATTTACCACTGAGAAAGTGTTCGATACTGTCAATTATTATTTCTCCTTTACTTCAAACTACTTAAATATAAATGCTTTATATTATGTTGTTCAGTCTGTCACTATGCTAAATTGTTTCTTGTGCAAGAAAAGACTCTTAGGCTTATGCCAATGCCCTTGATCTTTTTGAGTAATTTTGCTATTGTATGTTACTTTCATTAAGAAAAGAACATTTGACAGTTAAATCATTTCTCACTATCAAATGTACAGTTGCAATTAAGAAGTTTTATAGACTATTAAAGGTGGAGGTTTGGTGTGAACACAGACTCATCTGAAATAAACACTTAGATATATAGTTGGGTCTATAATTATCAATGTATATGTAAGCTAGACATGGAAGCACAAACTCAAAGAGAAAAAAAGGAAATGAATAAACAACATTATAAAGATCAAAATATTTTTGCATATTTTGAAAAATACTAAATTTTTTTTTTAGTTTGTATTGAAATAGTATAGAAGGTTATACTTTATCAGAAAAAATATTTGATTAAAAATTGTAGTACTCATTCCTTGGTCTGTAATTAAATTGTGAAACATGCTGGCATAATTTAAAATAAAGGTCTTAGTACTCAGCAGCAGCAGACAATCATTAATTGCAAAGCCTTTGCATTCTGCCCTGTCAATCAGCAGAAGTCACAAATCAATCAGCTAGTTGGCATAGGAATCAAAGTCAGAGAGGAAAATAATTTCTGCTTAGCTATAATAAAGTACATTGCCTTTTTGTAGTGGAAAACAATTGAATGTTTTTTTATCATGAATAAAATTTAATTTCGAATATGCGTGCCTACTACCAGTTTAGTGATCTACCATTTCAGTAGTTTTTCTTTCTAATTAAAAAAAATTGTTTAACAGCTCTACTAAAGTATAATTGATGCGTGAAGAGTCATATATATTTAATGTGCACAATATCATGATTTCAGACATTGGCAAAAACTTGTGACATCATCAGCACAATCAAAGTAATAGACATCTAACAGCTTCCAGAGTTTCCTATGTCCCTTTGCCTTGTTGGTGGTGGTGGCCTCGATGTTATCGTTTTGTGGGGTGTAGAGGTAGTAAGAACACTTAACATGGAATCTATTCTGCTAACATAGTGTGACCTGCTCAATACTGTATTGTTAACTATAGGTACTATGCTGTAGACCAGATCTCTGGAAGCTACTCATCTTGCATAACTGAAACTTTATGCCAATTGAACAACTCCCTATTTCCTCCACCCCCACAGCCCCTGGCAACTATTATTGTCTTCTGTACTTCCATGAGTTTGACTGTAACAGATCTCTCATATAAGTGGAATTATTCAGTATTTGTCCTTGTGTGACTGGCTTATTTCACTAGTATAATACTCTCCAGGTTCTTCCATGTTGTTGCAAATAGCAAGCTTTTCTTTATTTTCAAGGCTGAATAATAGTACTTTATATTTATATGCCACATTTCCTATATCCATTTATTTGTGGATAGATACTTGAGCTGTTTTCACATCTCGGCTATTTTGAATGATACTGTAATAACATGGAAGTGCAGATATTTCCTTGACATAATAATTTCAATTCTTTGTGATAAATATCAGAAATAGGATTATTGGATAATATGGTATTTCTATTTTTATTTGTATTTCTATTTTTAAATTTTCAAGGATCCACCATACTGTTTCTTACATCTAGGTACCATTTTACATTGCCACCAGCAGTGCAGAGGATTAAAATTTCTCTACATATTCACTAACAATTATCTTTTGTTACTTTGATAAAGCCATTCTAACAGGTACGAAGTACTATGTCACTGTGGTTTTAATTTGCATTTTACTGATAATTACTGATGTTGAACATCTTTTCATATATCTGTTGGCCATTCATATGTCTTCTTTAGAGAAATGTCCGCTCAAGTGCTTCGCCCATTCATGAATAGGGTCATAGGAATTCCTTACACATTTATATATTTTGAAAATTAACTTCTTATCAGATGTGTGGCTTGCAATTATTTTCTCCTGTTTTTATTATTGCTCCTGTCATTCTGTTGATTGTGTCCTTTGGTGTGTGGAAGCTTTTTAGTGTGATGTAGTACCACTTTTCTATTTTTACTTTTTCCTGTGCTAGTTTTCTAAACATTTTCTATTTTTTTTTTTTTTTTGAGATGGTCTTGCCCTGTTGCCCAGGTTGGAGTATGTAATGATGCAATCTCGGCTCACTGTAACCTCTGCCTCCTGGGTTCAAGCGATTCTCCTGCCTCAGCTTCCTGAGTAGCTTGGATTACAGGCACGCACCACTATGCCCAGCTAATTTTTTGTATCTTTAGTAGAGACAGGGTATCACCATGATGGCCAGGCTGGTCCCGAACTCCCGACCTCGTGATCCACTCGCCTCAGGCTCTCACAGTGCTGGGATTACAGGTGTGAGCCACCGCATGGCTAAACATTTTCTTACGTAAATATGCTTGAATCATTTTCAACTTCCTCTATGTCTTACAGTGTTCTACCTTCTCAAACATCTTTCTAGATTTCCTAAGTGAAAAATAATAAAAATGCTGCATATCCATAGCCTAAATTAGAATGTTGGAGAAATGCATTGTTCTTAATAAATAATATTGTTCAGAATACAGACAAAAGGTTGTCCAATGAATATTTCAGTTTCATTGTTGGTTGTTTTTAAGTGATTTATATTTACATTCCTGTATTGAAAGAATAAACACATTCATAATATTAGAGTAAAATAGTCACATTTTATTAGATACATTTTGCATGATTTAAACTTTATTAAAATTTTCTACACATCTGATATTGATGTAACTATGTATAGATGTTAATGCTTTAAGGCTGCTGGATCTATCAATGTATATTTAAACAGTACAATGCTTTTACATAAAGGATATATAATGAATTGTACGAGTGAACATAATTTTAATTCTCATTTTTATTTGACATTAGTTAATATATTTTATTCATCTTACATCATTTCTGATTTTAAAAAGTTGCCAATGCTAGAATAAAATATTTTAAAATTCTACTATCTTGTACTAACCTCCTTTCTCTTCTAATATTTTTCCTGTATAAATTAGTCAGGATTCTTCAGAAAAACAGAGACAATATGATACCTATGGATATATTAGAGGGGACTTATTTTAGAAATTATTTCATGTGACTATGGAGGCTGAGAAGTCACATAATATGTCACCGCAAGTTGAAGGCCCAAGAAAGCTAACGATGTAATTTAGTCTGGGTCCAAGAGTCTGAACAACGGAAAAGCCAATGGTATAATTCCCGGTCAAAGGCCAAATGCCTGAGAACCTGGGGACAGGATAGCAGATGGATCTCTGGTTTATGTATTAGGGTCTGAAGCCCTGAGACCTGAAAAAGCCGATGTCCCAGGGCCAGAGAAGAGAGACATCCTAGCTCAGGGAATTCACCCTTCCTCTACTTTTTTGCTCTATCTGGGCCCTCAAGAGATTGTGTGATGCCCACTCACATTAGTGACAATGAACATTTTTTACTCAGTTCATTGATCCAAATGTTAATCTCTCCTGGAACACATCCTCACAGACACACCTAGAAATGTTTCACCAGCCATCTGGGTATCCCTTAACCTAATCAAGTGGACACATAAAATTAAACATCACATTGTGTGTATATTACATTCATTTTAAAAAATAGTTTTAAATTAGACATATTGAAAATTAGCCAACTAAGATGCATATTACATTATTTAAAGTTCTGTGTCTCTTGAGTATAATTCCCGGATATTCAAAAATATAATAAAATATTAGATTTTGGTATCTCAATTGCATAACAAAGTCAAAAATGTCTAACATTGATACGTCATTTCTTTGATGGTCATATTTAAGTAACTTATCTTAAATTTATTCATTTCATAAACTAAATATGGGTATGTTCTTTTGGCTAGCTGTTCCAATATGAACCTCTACCATATAACTATATGTGCTTGCTTTTTTCCACTTCTAAAATAATATATAAAGTTTAATGGATCATTTCATAACAGTCTATAAAACACCTTTCTAGTATGTTTAAGTTATATTAATGCTGCAAATGTTTGATATTGTACCTATGTCTGCTAATGTTAAAGGCAATATATATATATCAAACTGTTTTAAACAAGCTAACCAGATATGTACAAAACTTATTGTACACAGTAATGTAAAAGTAATAGAAAAATGTAAATTGATTTATTTGGCATGGCTGGTGTATGCCTTTAAACCAAGATGATATACTTTTTTGTTAAACATAGGATGTGATAAAATAATTAAATTGCATTACCTTTTATCTTATAATAGTAATATAGAAACCAAATGCCTATAAGACAAATCTATAATTTAAAACAAATAATTTAAATGAAGTGTATTTGATTATATAACTGATCATAATTTGAAAGACCTAATGAATAAGTCTAGAAAAGAAAGTTTTATTACCGACATTAATAATTATATCTATTACAGTTAACATGATCTTTTGAGCTATTTCTAAATCTCAATGGAAAGTAGATCTTGTAGAATACATTAATTTGTTTGTTTGTTTGTTTTAGGTTCTTAAACCATGGAATTAGTAACAGGAATACAAGAGAGGAACGAGTCAATGATCTGATAGAAACACTAGGACACTTTCTGTAATGAAGGACTAGATAATAAATAGGCTTTGCAGGTCATAAGGCCTCTGCTACAATTACTCAATTCTGCCACTGTATCAGAAAAATAGACACAGATTGTATGTAAATTAATGGCTATGGATTTTCAAGGCTCAGAACATGATACCTCAAACTGTGGCACCTTGACATGCTGAGTACTTTGAAATAAATTCAATTGAAAGGGCCTTGGAAGTAAGATTGCTTTGATCTTCTTCAACATTTTTGTCTTCCATTCTTTTTTCTCTCCCGAAGCAAGTCATAGAAACTAGAACATTTTTTCCTCAAAGCAAGCCACAATACCTAGAGATGTCACTCTATCCATTTTTTCTTCTCCATTGAGGACCCTTATTCAAAAGAAGTCTTACCCCATACCGTGGAGGAAGGAATGCTACACTGAGAGGTCAAGATAAATCTGGACAAAAAGGGCTTTCTGGGTTTCTCCTCTCCATCTACCCTATTAGAGCATATACTTTTTGTCCAATCCCTATTTTTTTGTTTTTTTTTTTTTGAGATGGAGTCTCGCTCTGTCGCCCAGGCTGGAGTGCAGTGGCGTAATCTCGGCTCACTGCAAGCTCTGCCTGCCAGGTTCACGCCATTCTCCTGCCTCAGCCTCCCGAGTAGCTGGGACTACAGGCGCCCGCCACCACACCCGGCTAATTTTTTGTATTTTTAGTAGAGACGGAGTTTCACCGTATTAGCCAATATGGTCTCAATCTCCTGACCTCGTGATGTGCCTGCCTCGGCCTCCCAAAGTGCTGGGATTACAGGCATGAGCCACTGTGCCAGGCCTGTCCAGTCCTATTTCTACAGAGCTGTCTGTTCTTTATTAAACTTAAACATAAAAGTTGAGTTTCCTCTGGGTCCTCATTTCTGAAGGTGCCCATGCCATGTAAAACTTTAATTAAATAAATTGGTTTTGGTTTTCTCTTGTTAGTCTGTCTATGTTACAGGATTGTCAGATGTGATCCTTATGATGAGTGAAAAAAGGCATCACACTATTCTGCCCCTGCAGGTTGTTTCCAGTAAAACCTTATTTACAAAAAAGAAGTGGTAAACCTTAATTTGGTGACACTTGATTTAATAAAAAGAGTTGATAACTACAACAACAACAACAACAAAATATAGCAATAAAAAGACAAAAGCAAAATTCAAATGTTGTGGCCTTCACCTACTCATGAAAGCTTTCTGGCTGATTGTCTTAGAATCACTTAAATACTGGATGTCAAATAGAATTTACCTTTTGCCATCTTTCTTCTTGAACATATAGAATATTCCCCATATGTTTAGCAAGTCCACACACCAAATAATAAGCATAAAAGTCTGTATTTTGGGATACATTTCTGCCCCCCCACTAATATTTACAAGTTAAAGTCCTAGGCCGCACTAACACAGAATATGACTATTTGGATACAGGGGCCTAGGAGGCAATTAAGTTAAAATTATATTATTAGTATGGACCCTAATCCAGTAAAACTGATGTCCTTCTAAGAAGAGAAAATTTGCACAGAAACAGGTACAGAGCAAAGACCATGTCAAGATACAGGGAGAAGATGGTTATCTGCAAGTCTTAGAGAAAGAGAAAACTCAGAAGAAACCAACCATGAAGACAAACACCTTGATCTTAGCCTTCTAGTCTCCGGAACTGTAAAAAATAAATTTCTATTTTTTAAACCCCCTAGTCTGTGATACCCTAGCAAACTAATGCACTCTGCTTTCCATTTTATTTGAAGCAATAATATAGAGTTTATTTTGTATTTTGTATAGGCATATATGCTATCTCATAATTCAAATTCAATGAATTTTGATTATGAGAATTATGAGAATTTGAATCATGAGATAACATATATATCCATACAAAATACAAAATAAACTCTGTATTATTGACTTAATGACATTGATTCATTCCTGAGAACCTTGACATTAAAAACAAAAATTTTTGTTCATTTTAATGGGAGAATATTAAATATTTTATCTCATTCTAGATACTCAATTTTCATGTGTGTATATATATGAATTATATAAAGTAAACCCATTTTGTATAAGTAATCAACAATGATATAAGCATAAATATAGATTTTACATAAGAGATAATGGCCTTAAATATTATCATACTTGCCAGAGTAGGACCAGAAGACCAGAACAGCTTGCAGTTAGTTAAGAAAGGTTATGGGGACGTCATTCTTTCAAAGGTGTGTTCTTTGAGAAAACACGATAACTTACACCTATGCTGCACTTAAAAATAAACCTATTACCCAGAAAAAAATAGAAAAAATACAGATGACATAAAGGCCTTCAAAATTCAGAAAATAGCAAACATTCATATATATTAAAGAATAGAAAAATTAATCTTTCTTGCTTGTCATATGCATATAAAACAAAATATTTAGAGTTCTATTTATATTCTCCAGTTAGAAACTATTGTTTTGAAGAAATTGCTGATTGCCTTTGTCTGAAATCATGATAAATAAAATGTTCCTTTTATTATTTAGTGGTTTTCTATGTGAAAAAGTCATTGTAACAGCCCTATATTGCCTGGAGACAGTACAATAACCGTAGCACCCTTTAAAATAAAGCTTGCTTTCCTCATGACCTTAACCTGCCTACACTAATTATCCACGTAGAAGCAGCATGAGCAAGATATTGAAATCCTCCTCCAGAGTAAATATGTCAAGAATGCCAAAGAAATTATAATACTTGGCAAATATATGGTACCAGGAACAGAAGAATAGTGAGTGCTAATACATCTTGAGAGTGTTGGATGAGGTTACACAGTGTTTAAGGTGAATTTAGAAAAAAAACATTTTTTTTAAACAAGAGGATACTCACTATACTCACCCATGAGTAGGAATTCTACATTTTAGCAAGGAAACTTGAAGCAAATTTTAATAATCTGCTGATATGTTTCTTTGGAGTTTGAGCATAACAGTGGCCTACATTAAATGAAGAGAAAATATCAGAAATGTATTGGCATTGTTATTCAGGGAGAGAGAGGTTCTAGGAAGTGAATGTTTGAATGGTCTTGCTGAGTAAAATTGGAGATTCCAGAGGACACCCCTCATATAAAAGTGGCAAGGAATACACTAGCAAGGCAATATGCCTGCATCTTTAAGAAGCTTGGTGGTAGCAGTCTCTGTAGGCTAGTTTGGAGGTAAAAGGTGTTTTCATGAGCCTATAATCATTAGTGTTAATGAAGATGTTGGAAGTTAGGAATTAAAGAGCCCAGAAGTCACAATAAGTGTTAGAGGCAAAGTAAACATAGTTAATAAAATAGGAAATAAGCCCAGATTTATAAACAGGTGTCCTGATGAGCAGATATTTGTGGGAAAAGCAAGCAAATAGGGATTGTCAATGGATAAGAGATGCTCAGTTAAGGAGGATTTTTCTAGATTAGTACAAAAGGCCAAATTAAGAACTAGCAAACATCAGCTTCCTTAGCTGGAAATTCTGCTTCTTCACGCAGTTTCCTGATGTAAATCAGTTTAAAGACCTAGAATCCATTAGGTATATGGAGAGGCTTCTTCTCATTGAAGAAGGATCCAGAAACATCATTACGTTATTTAGTCCCTGATCTATTCCCCAGAGAAATTATGGCTAATCATTAGTGACTGTTGCACCTAAGAGAAGGTAATTTCTGAATACTGACAGGATACTTAAATATGATATATGAACTGATACCGAAGCTAGAGGACTAGAAAAAAACATCCCATTATAGCATTCCAGTTACAGAGGGGGCTTGAAAATACCACGTGACAGGGTATTAGTCCACATCTCACAGTGGAGTTAATGTTTTTGTGAAGGCATTTTGTGGTTTTCCTTGTCTCAAATTATACAATAGAATGCAGATAACTAGCAAATGGCAGAAACATTACATATTTTTTATCTTATGAAGAATAAAGACCACAAAGTAGAATGACATTAAATAAAAAGAATTGTCCTTTCTAGGAAAGTCTATAGAGATTAGTTATACTAACAAATTGTGGTGGATGTTGAGATAGTGGTGGCCCTTGCAAACTTTGTATAAATTGTGACAGATGATAGTGGGATAACTTTTCAGGTGGTAACCACAATTACAGCTGCTCTGCCAGATATAGGAGCTGCCTGTAGCAGAATAACATAGCTTCTAATGCTTAGTTTCCCCTAATTATCCAGCAAATGTGTTATGAATTGCCATCAGTAGAGAATATCAAAAGTAGTTTTCTTTCACTTAGTAAAGAAAAAAGTACGTGTTCACTGTCTTGCCCCCTCACTATGCTAACTCTCTTATTTTAATCATAAAATAGTCCCAAAGAACCCTCATTTAATGACATTCAACTGATACTCAATGCTTATCCACGTATTAATGTCATAATGCTAATTAGATCTGGTGAGCAGAAATTGGCAAGCACCTTTGTTTTCATAATAAGATACATGCATATTAGCATGAGAAGATAAATTCAAAAAATATTTAGGGACTTATGAATTGTGAAATATTTTACAGATTCAATGTTTTAGGAAATAATGGGATAACTTATCTGAGATATGCCTTCCACCATAAAAAAAATTGTATGGAATAAAGCACCTTGTAGATGTCAGCCAGCCTTTATCATCAGCTTCATCAGTTTGGGAGCAAAGGGCTCATGAGCTAAACAAATATCTTTTCTTTAAGAGATGGAAGATAAGTATTTGTTGCGAACATGAGCCTTGTCTTGCCTAGTGAGATCTAGCTATATCCACTGGCAAATGCCCAGCGCCTAAGCTGGTATCATATGAAATAAAAGGTGAGCATCATTCTTCTTGGGGACCAAACAGCCATTTTAGACTTTTGTATAGTGAAAGTACAGTGATTAAATTTCACTGGAATTTTATATATATAATAGATATGTACTTGGCTTCTTTGCCTGCAATGAATGTATCATTATCTGAAGACTCACAAAATACTTTTCATAACAACATAGCATTGATACAGAATTACCTAAAAGATTGCAATTTAAGCCAAAAATTTACATAAATTTGTGTACAACTACAGTATCCAGTGGCCTTTCAGAGCACCTAATAACATTGAATCACTTCCTTAACAAAATACAGCTATGCACCACATGAAATATACGTGGTTGAAAAAGGACTACATATATGACAGAAGTGTCATAAGATTATAATACAAATTTTTACTATGGCTTTTATATGCTTAAATACTACCATTGTGTTACAATAGCCATAGTATTCCCTGCAGTAACATGCTGTTCAAGTTTGTAGCCTAGGAGCAATAGGCCGTACCATATAGCTTAGATTATGTGGTAAGGCGTACCATCCAGATTTGTATAAATGGATTATATGATCTCACAAGTACAAAATTTCCTAGTGACACATTTTTAAAAACGTTTCTCCATCTTTAAGAGATGGATTACTGTAGTTTAGTGGTTTGTTAAAGCTAATGCCATCTTGTCAAAAATACTCTGCCACATTTGAGTGACATTCTCCATGACGCAGTGTACTTTCTGAACTACGAGTTGATATCCATGTTCCATCAATGTAAGCATTGAAGCCTTAGAAAATGCAAGCATTGAAGCCTTAAGTTGGAATTAGGATTAGCATCTATATTTATTTGTTTATTGTGATTTGAACTCATTGGCAAAGGCTCTAATATACCATGAGAACATACGGCACTTCTCTTAAGTAAACAGAAGCAGACATAGGCATAAGAGTAAGAAACACTTCTGTGTCATAAATAAAAACTCAACTTTTCTTTTACTGAAAGTGGTCTGGTTAATTCTTACTACCTTAAGATATTTTACTGGCCCTCTCATGTTATGTACAAAGTTAAAGCTAAATGTCTGGTCATCATTGTTGAAAAACTAGTTATAGCTTTGAAGTTACCTGTTCAATTTTGACAAGAAAAAGTTGAGGTTTTTAAATTCCAAATATGGTTTTAAATGCTAAAACTGTAGGAGCTTTCTTCATTGACTCTTTGAAAAGAATTTGACTGGCTGAATAAGCGAAAAATATTACAGCCAAATAATGTATTATTGTGTCCGGAATTGGTGGGTTCTTTGTCTCACTGACTTCAAGAATAAAGCCACTGAC
Organism: Homo sapiens; assembly: GCF_000001405.40. Lineage (NCBI taxonomy): Eukaryota > Metazoa > Chordata > Mammalia > Primates > Hominidae > Homo > Homo sapiens. The sequence goes on from NC_000005.10 coordinate 25,822,777, forward strand.
CCTCACAGTGAGGGTCACAGTTCTTAAAGATGATGTGTCTGGAGTTTCTTCCTTCTGATGTTCCGACATCTCGCTGATTTCAGGAGTGAAGCTGCAGACCTTCGTGGTGAGTCTTACAGTTCATAAATGTGGCTTGGACTCAAAGAGTGAGCAGCAGCAAGATTTCTAGGGAACAGCAAAAGAATAAAAGTTCCACACTGTGGAAAGCCACCCTAGCAGGTTGCCACTGCTGGTTCAGGCAGCCTGCTTTTATTCCCTTATCTGACACCACTCACATCCTGCTGATTGGTCCATTTTACAGAGAGCTGATTGGCCCATTTTACAGAGATCTGATTGGTCCATTTTGACAGGGTGCTGATTGGTGCATTTACAATCCCTGAGCTAGACACAGAGTGCTGATTTGTGCATTTACAATCCTCTAGCTAAACATAAAAGTTCTCCAAGTCCCCAGCAGACTCAGGAGCCCAGCTGGCTTCACCTAGTGGATCCCATGCCAGGGCTGCAGGAGGAGCTGCCCACCAGTCCCACACCGCATGCTCACACTCCTCAGCCCTTGGGTGATCGATGGGACTGGGTGCCATGGAGCAGGGGGCGGCACCTGTTGGGGAGGCTTGGGCTGCGTGGGAGCCCACCTTGGGGGCTGGTGCTTGGGCATGGTGGGCTGCAGGTCCCAAGCCCTGCCCCACGGAGAAGTGGCTGAGGCCCGGCGAGAATTTGAGCGTGGCGTGGGTGGAGTCCGGCAGTGTTGGGGGACCCAGCACACCCTCTGCAGCTGCTGGCCCAGGTGCTAAGCCCCTCACTGCCCAAGGCCCATGGTGCCAGCTGGCCACTCCGAGTGTGGGGCCCGCTGAGCCCGCCCCCACCCGGAACTCCCCCGCGAGCGCTGCATGCAGCCCCGGTTTCTGCCCGCACCTCTCCCTCCATGCCTCCCCACAAGCAGAGGGAGCCCACTCTGGCATCGGCCAGCCCAGAGTGGGGCTCCCACAGTGCAGCAGCAGGCTGAAGGGCTCCTCAAGCACAACCAGAATGGACGCTGAGGCCAAGGAGGTGCCAAGAGCAAGCGAGGTCTGCTAGCACGTTGTCACCTCTCATTATCATATTAACCTGATTATTTAAATTTTCATATTCAATGAAAGCTTTCTATTTAGTAACAACTTAGGATATCAATAGTGTCTAACTTTAGCCTCACTTGAAGAAAATCATTACCAAAATAACCAATCAAAATGTTTACCCTATTGTAATTTTTACAACTATGCTTATTTATTATAATTACTAGCCTAACCCACTATCCTCCAGGTCTCCTTAGAGACAGTTATTATGAGGTTGATTACTTTGTTTATTGAAAAATTAAAATTAGAATGGTTTATGTCCTAAAGAAAATGACAAATATATGTTTCAATAAATTTGACAATAATTAGCTAATGTCTGAGGTTTGATGTAGATTTTGGCCTCACATCATCTCTCTTTCAATGAGTGGTCCAAAATACCTATTTTTTTAAGTTCTATTCCCTTGGAATATGTTGCTTCTCCTGTGTTATTCAAGACCTTCTCTAGCCAGAGTTATTACCTTGAATCAGTCTACTTTCATCTGGTGCCAGCTTATTGCAAAAGACTTTATATTATTCAGGGTGAAATGCTTTTCATTTTCAGTCAAATATTCATGGGTAATATGCTAGAGGGCATTGCGATGAATAAAAGATGGGGAGGAATAATGTGTCAGAACTACAGGTAAAAGTAAGATAAATAGTCTTATAAGGTCTTATATATGTTAAACATGCTTTCTATTTTTTGATAATGTAGTCTTCTAAACACAACTTATGAAGAAGAAAAGATAACATCTGTATCATATTACCTATAATACTTAGCTCCCTCAAAACATATTTTTATAAATATATATTACATTTTTAAATAATAAATGTTAAAATTATACTTTAATTTCCTAAGAAAATGACATTCATTTATATTTTATGGTCATTATACATCCCCCATCATGTTTTCTGTGCCCTGCCATTGCATCCCATTTACAAGCCTTTCTTTTTTTCTTCCTTCCTTCCTTCCTTCCTTTCTTTCCTTCTTTCTTTCTTGCTTTCTTTCCTTTTTTTGACAGAGTTTCACCCTTGTTGCCCAGGCTGGAGTGCAGTGGCACAATCTTGGCTCACTGCAATCTCCTCTTCCCGGGTTCAAGTGATTCTCATGCCTCGGCCTCCGAAGCAGCTGGGATTATAGGTTTGTGCCAACATACCCAGCTAGTTTTTGTGTTTTTAGTAGAGACAGGGTTTCACCATGTTGTCTGGGCTGGTCTTGAACTCCTGACCTCAGTTGATCCACCTGCCTTGGCCTCCCAAAGTGCTGGCATTACAGATGTGAGCCACTGCACCCAGCCAAGCCTTTTCTTTTCTTTTCTTTTTTTTAAATTATACTTTAAGTTTTAGGGTACATGTGCACAATGTGCAGGTTAGTCACATATGTATACATGTGCCATGTTGGTGCGCTGCACCCATTAACTCATCATTTAACATTAGGTATATCTTCTAATGCTATCCCTCCCCCCTCCCCCCACCCCACAACAGGCCCCAGTGTGTGATGTTCCCCTTCCTGTGTCCATGTGTTCTCAGTGTTCAATTCCCACCTATGAGTGAGAACATACGGTGTTTGTTTTTTTGTCCTTGCGATAGTTTGCTGAGAATGATGGTTTCCAGCTTCATCCATGCTGATGTTAATTGAGATACTATAGATAATACAGACAATTGCTAATTTTAATTACTATGAGAAAATAATACTACCTAGAAGGAACTCAGTGATAAGCCTTTTGAAGATTTGAAAGATTCAAGGCAATAGTTTTCCCAAATGCCATCATTCCAAAAGGTGGAAAGACATTCATACAGTAACTTTCCTCAAGAAACAGAGATGAGGTATCAATTGAAATAAAACCGAATTAAGCAACCCACAGACAATCCTTATTTATTTTATTGTATTTAGAGTTCTGCAGATTATCTCACAACTACTAAGAAATAGTATCATTTTAATTTAAAAATGCTTTGTCATTTCCTTGTTCTGAACTGTTCAGAGTCATTGGAAGCATTTCTCTTTCACTATGATTTATTCATTTCAATTTATTGTGGATTACCTCTTTGGGATTGCATTAGTCCATTTTCATGCTGCTATGAAGACATACCCAAGGTTGGGTAATGTATAAAGAAAAAATGTTTAATTGACTTACAGTTCCACTGAGGCTGGGAAGGCCTCAGGAAACTTACAATCATGGTGGAAGGCACCTTTCCACAGGGAGGCAGCAGGAATGAGTGCTGAGCAAAGGGGGAAACCTCTTATAAAATCATGAGATCTAGTGAGAATTTACTCACTATCAGGAGAACAGCATAAGGGTAACTGCCCCTGTGATTTAATTACCTCCCACTGAGTTACTCCCACCAAACAGGGGATTATGGGCACTACAATTCAAGATGAGATTTGGGGGAGAACACAGCAAAACCATATCAGGGATGTAATGATTAAATATTTTATATATATATTTAAATATAAACATATTGTGTGTGTGTTCTTATTGTTTTAGTTATTTCCAAGATTGAATTTCTTAGAAGTGAGACACTGATTTTGCTTAAAACATATCCCCAGTTCTTAAGTCCAGGGATAGGACACACTGTGTGATTGACTATTAGGATAAGGCTATGTGGAATGAGGGAGACTAGTTATTCATTAGAAAGTAAGATTGTGAATGGCAGTAATTTTTATCGTTATACATTTTTACTAAAAATGCAGTTCTCTGTCAAAAATAATTAAAAATATAAACAAGTATTCTAAAATACAAAGCAAAAGAATAGGAATAAAACTAAAATATTTCATAAATGTTATTTATCAAACTAGATCTAGAGAGTGGAGAAGTTCAAGCCTAAGTTCACTCTTAAGAACAGTGGATGTGATGAAAGGCAATTGTGAGGAGACTTAATTTAATTTAATTGTCATTGATTTAATGAATATATAGCTTAGAATATAAGTTGGTTAGTTTGCAGGAGATATTCAAGAAATGAGAGCTTAAAGAAACCTCCTGGGACAAAACAAAAAAAATAGAGCAATAGCTGCAAATTAGTAGAGTTTATATATTGTCACAGAGAGAGAGAGAAAAAAAAGTACTACTAATATCACTGTCATCACTAGGTGACTGAGGTTGGGCTCAAAGCTATGTCTCCCTGAGAAGCATAATTAGAGGCCTAAAATTGTATGTGTATTGAAGGAAAAGCAGATAGACTTCACTAAAATAACACAAACAGTCATTAAACAAGTAAACACACAAGTAACACCAATGCCCCATAGGAGGAGGCAGTGCTCAGAGTTTCTATAATATATTATCTAAATGGTCAAGTTTTCAACAGGAAAATGAAGAAAAAGTTATGTTTTTATTTTTAATTATGAGCCATAACCAGAAAAAGAATAGACAGCCGAAATTGTCTTGTGAAACTGGTCAGATTTGGAATTTCATAGGAAAAAGAAATATTTCAAATAGCCATTAGAAACATGTTCAAAGAACTAAAGAAATGTATAATTAAACAAGCAATTGAAGGTATGATGAGACTATCACACAGAATACAGTATATCAATAAGGAAGTAGTATTTGTAAAATTAAAAAAATAGAAATTGTGGACCTGAAAAGTACTGTAATTCAAATTAAACGTTACTAGAGGTGCACAACAGTAGATTTAAACTGGCCAAAGAAAGAAGTAGTATATTTGAAAATAGATAAAAAGAGATTACTCAAATTTTAAAAGGAGAGATAGGAGTACCTATATACTGCCATCTATGGAACACTCCATTCAACAAAAGAGAACGTATGTTTCTCAAGTACACATGGATGTTTTCAAGAACATTTGCTAGAATACACCATATACCATATGCACATACCTCAAGTGAAGATGGGAATGAGACACCATTACACCCACTAATATATGCATAATGTAAGAACCAAAAGGAGAACAAAGAGAGAATGGGGGAAATAATAAAGAAATAATCACTGAAAACACCTAGATTTATTAAAAGGAACAACAACATATGGATCCATAGTGCTTAAAAATTCAAAAATAACAAATGCAAGAAGATCCATAGAAATACATCACAGTAAAAGTCCTGAAAGTCAAAGAGACAGAGAAAACATTGACAGCAGAAAGAAAAGCAAAAAAAAAAAAATTTCTCTTATAAGATTAAAATAAGATTAACAGTTAACTTATGAGCAAAAACAATGCAGACCAACAGGCAGTGCAATAACACATTCAAAATACTCAATAGAAAAAAATACAGAACAAAACCAACAACCACACTGTCAACCAAAAATCTTAGATCCAAGAAATCTATTTTTAAAAAGTCTTTTCCACAAATAACAACAAAAAAAATTTTTTTCTAGCAGACCAGTCTTGCAAGAATTACTAAAAGATCTTCAGGATGAAAGCAAGTAAAATGAGAAGATAATCTGAATCCAAACAAACTAACATAAGCACCAATAAAGGGTAATTATGAATATAGATGACATTATCAATACATATTTTTCTCATTTCTTCTATTAAATGATTAAAAAGTAAATGTGTAAAATAATATGTAATGAAATGTACAAAATAGATAATGAATTGGAGAGCCTTTAACATATAGAAAAATGATATGTACATAATATGTTTGTTAAAAACAGTACAAAGGATTTAAGGAATAAAGCTGGATTTCTTTGTTCTTTTTCTTTTTTTTTGAGACGGAGTCTCACCCTGTCACCCAGGCTGGAGTGCAATGGCATAATCTCAGCTCTGCCACCTATGCCTCCTGGGTTCAAGTGATTCTCCTGCCTCAGCTTCCTGAGTAGCTGGGATTACAGGCAACCCCCACTGCGCCCAGCTAATTTTTGTATTTTTTATTTTATTTTATTTATTTTTTTGTGATGGAGTCTTGCTCTGTCACCCAGGCTGGAGTGCAGTGGCGTGATCTCAGCTCACTGCAAGCTCCGCCTCCCAGGTTCACGTCATTCTCCTGCCTCAGCCTCCCGAGTAGCTGGGACTACAGGCACCTGCCGCCACACCCGGCTAATTTTTTGTATTTTTAGTAAAGAAGGGCTTTCACCGTGTTAGCCAGGATGGTCTCTATCTCCTGACCTCTGGGGATCCTCCCACCTCAGCCTCCCAAAGTGCTGGGATTACAGGCATGAGCCACCACACCCAGACAATTTTTGTATTTTTAGTAGAGACAGGGTTTTGCCATGTTGACCAGGCTGGTTTCGAACTCCTGACCTCAGGAGATCCACCCGCCTTCGCCTCCCAAAGTGCAAGGATTATGGGCATGAGCCACCATTCCAGCCTAAAGCTTCATTTCCTTTTTTTTTTTTTCCTCTTAGTTTTAGCATCCCTGTTTTAATATCATAAAATACAAATGTCTTTGCAATGCCAACATAAGGGAGATCTTGGCCAATGTGAAATAAAATTACTCATTCAAAACTCTGCCTAGGGTGATTTTGTAGTTCTTAACAGTTCTCCAAAGCATCTTGAACAGGAATTTTAAGATAAATGTAAATCTGCAGTGGCTGAAAAGAGTTGTGAGCTTTTTTATTCATGATAAAAACCTTATAGGAATAGTAAAAAAAAAAAAAAGTCCCTGTGAAAAGCTACTAGTACATTGGCCAGTGCTGGGTGATACAGATTCTGATAAAAACATAAATGTATTAGTTCATCTCCATGTAGTAAAAAGTATACTAAAGCTGCATTTCAATTAAGGAAGTGACTACCCATCATGCCATGCTATTTTGGTTACTGTACCCTTGTAGTAGAATTTAACATAAGGTAATGAAATGTCTCCAGCTTTGTGTTTTGCTTTGGATTGTTTTGGCTATTTGGACTCTTCTTGGTTTCATATCGTGTCCAGAATTGGTTCCTTCCTTTGGGTTCTTGGTCTCGCTGACTTCAAGAATGAAGCCTCAGACCCTCGCGGTGAGTGCTACAGTTCTTAAAGATAGTTTGTCTGGAGTTTGTTCCTTCTGATGTTCAGATGTGTCCAGAATTTCTTCCTTCTGGTGGGTTCCTGGTCTTGCTGACTTCGAGGGTGAAGCTGCAGACCTTTGCAGTGAGTGTTACAGCTCTTAAAGGTGGCACATCAGGAGTTGTTTCTTCCTCCCCATGGGTTTGTGGTCTCTCTGGCTTCAGGAGTGAAGCTGCAGACCTTCGTGGTGAGTGTTACAGCTCATAAAGGTAGTGCAAACCCAAAGAGTGAGCAGCGGTAAGATTTATTGCAAAGAGCAAAAGATAAAAGCTTCCACAGTATGGAAGGGGACCCCAACAGGTTGCTCCTGCTGCTTCTGGTGGCCAGCTTTTATTCCCTTATTTGGCCCTGCCCACATCCTGCTGACTGGTCCATTTTACAGAGTGCCGATTGGTCCGTTTTTGCAGAGTGCTGATTGGTGCATTTACAAACCTTTAGCTAGACACAGAGCACTGATTGGTGTGTTTTTACAGAGTGCTGATTGGTGAGTTTACAAACATTTAGCTAGACAGAAAAGATCTCCAAGTCCCCACCTGACCCAGAAGCCCAGCCGGCTTCACCTCTCATTATGAATTTTAGAATTAGTTTTTCCTTATTGTGTGAAAAATGACATTGACAATTTTATAGAAGTTGCATTGAATCTTCTGATTACTTTGCATAGTATGGTCATTTTAATGATATTGATTCTTCCAATCCATACACATGAGTTTTTTTTTTCATTTTTTTGTTATAATCTATGATTTTTTCATCAGTGTTTTCTAGATTCTTCGTGTAGAGCTCTTTTGCCTCCTTGGTTAAATGTATACCTAGATGTTGAGTTTTTGTAGCTATTGTAAATCGGATTGCATTCTTGATTTGGTTCTCGGTTTGAACTTTATTGGTGTGTAGAAATGCTACTGATTTTTGTACGTTGATTTTCTATCCTGAAACCTTACTGAAGACATTTTACAAATCTTGGAATGCTTTGGAGGAGTCTTTAGGGTCTTCTAGGCATAAGATCATGTCATCAGTAAACAGAGATAACTTGACTTTCTTTTTATCCAATTTGGATGCCTTTTATTTCTTTTTCTTTCCTAATTTATCTCGCTAGGACATACAGTACTATGTTGAGTAGGAGTGGTGAAAATCGGCATCCTTGTCTTGTACCAGGTCTTAGGGGGAATGCTTTCAACTTTTCCTCATTGAGTATAATGTTGGTTGTGGGTTTTCTATATATGACTTTCATTATTTCGAGGTATGTTCCTTTGAATCGTAGTTTCTTAAGGCTTTCAATCATTAATGGATGTTAGAATTTTAGAATGCATTTTCTGCACCTATTGAGATGATATTATAACTTTTGTTTTTTGTTCTGTTTATGTGTTGAAACACATTTGTTGATTTGTTTATGTTGAATCATCATTGCATCCCTGGAGTAAAACCTACTTGACTGTGGAGTGGTATCTTTTTGCTGTGATGTTAAATTCAGTTTCAAACACCTCTACGCAAATAAACTAGAAAATCTAGAAGAAATGGATAAATTCCTCCACACATACACTCTCCCAAGACTAAACCAAGAAGAAGTTGAATCTCTGAATGGACCAATAACAGGATCTGAAATTGTGGCAATAATCAGTAGCTTACCAACCAAAAAGAGTCCAGGACCAGATGGATTCACAACCGAATTCTACCAGAGGTACAAGGAGGAACTGGTACCATTCCTTCTGAAACTATTCCAATCAATAGAAAAAGAGGGAATCCTCCCTAACTCATTTTATGAGGCCAGCATCATCCTGATACCAAAGCCGGGCAGAGACACAACCAAAAAAGAGAATTTTAGACCAATATCCTTGATGAACATTGAAGCAAAAATCCTCAATAAAATACTGGCAAACTGAATCCAGCAGCACATCAAAAAGCTTATCCACCATGATCAAGTGGGCTTCATCCCTGGGATGCAAGGCTGCTTCAATATATGCAAATCAATAAATGTAATCCAGCATAGAAACAGAACCAAAGACAAAAACCACATGATTATCTCAATAGATGCAGAAAAGGCCTTTGACAAAATTCAACAACGCTTCATGCTAAAAACTCTCAATAAATTAGGTATTGATGGGACGTATCTCAAAATAATAAGAGCTATCTATGACAAACCCACAGCCAATATCATACTGAATGGGCAAAAACTGGAAGCATTCCCTTTGAAAACTGGCACAAGACAGGGATGCCCTCTCTCACCACTCCTATTCAACAGAGTGTTGGAAGTTCTGGCCAGGGCAATTAGGCAGGAGAAGGAAATAAAAGGTATTCAATTAGGAAAAGAGGAAGTCAAATTGTCCCTGTTTGCAGATGACATGATTGTATATCTAGAAAACCCCATTGTCTCAGCCCAAAATCTCCTTAAGCTGATAAGCAACTTCAGCAAAGTCTCAGGATACAAAATCAATGTACAAAAATCACAAGCATTCTTATACACCAACAACAGACAAACAGAGAGCCGAATCATGAGTGAACTCCCATTCACAATTGCTTCAAAGAGAATAAAATACCTAGGAATCCAACTTACAAGGGACGTGAAGGACCTCTTCAAGAGAACTACAAACCACTGCTCAATGAAATAAAAGAGGATACAAACAAATGGAAAAACATTCCATGCTCATGGGTAGGAAGAATCAATATCGTGAAAATGGCCATACTGCCCATGGTAATTTATAGATTCAATGCCATCCCCATCAAGCTACCAATGACTTTCTTCACAGAATTGGAAAAAACTACTTTAAAGTTCTCATGGAACCAAAAAAGAGCCTGCATCGCCAAGTCAATCCTAAGCCAAAAGAACAAAGCTGGAGGCATCACGCTACCTGACTTCAAACTATACTACAAGGCTACAGTAACCAAAACAGCATGGTACTGGTACCAAAACAGAGATATAGATCAATGGAACAGAACAGAGCCCTCAGAAATAACGCCGCATATCCACAACTGTTTGATCTTTGACAAACCTGAGAAAAACAAGCAATGGGGAAAGGATTCCTTATTTAATAAATGGTGCTGGGAAAACTGGCTACCCATATGTAGAAAGCTGAAACTGGATCCCTTCCTTATACCTTATACAAAAATTAATTCAAGATGGATTAAAGACTTAAACGTTAGACCTAAAACCATAAAAACCCTAGAAGAAAACCTAGGTTTTCTCATATTTTATTGGGGATTTTTGCATCTATCTTCACTGGAGATATTGGCCTGTAGGTTTTTGTTGTTGTTGTTGTTTCCTTGCCTGGCTTTGGTATCATGGTAATACTGACTTCATAGAATAAATTAGAGATGATTCTCTCCTCCTCATTTTTTGGAACAGTTTCAGTAGGATTGGTACCAGTTCTTTTTTCTAAGTATGGTAAAATTAAGCTGTAAATTTGTCCTATTTTGGGCTTTTTTATGATAAATTTTTTATTACTGATTTAAATTCACTACTAATATTTTTTTTTGAGACGGAGTCTCGCTCTGTCACCCAGGCTGGAGTGCAGTGGCGGGATCTCGGCTCACTGCAAGCTCCGCCTCCCGGGTTCACGCCTTTCTCCTGCCTCAGCCTCCCAAGTAGCTGGGACTACAGGCGCCCGCCACTACGCCCGGCTAATTTTTTTTTGTATTTTTAGTAGAGACGGGGTTTCACCGTTTTAGCCGGGATATTCTCGATCTCCTGACCTCGTGATCCACCCGCCTCGGCCTCCCAAAGTGCTGGGATTACAGGCGTGAGCCACCGCGCCCGGCCTAATTTTTATCTGTTTAGGATTTCTGTTTCTTCAGTATTCAATCTTGGGAGGTTGGTTTCTTTTCAGGAATTTATCCATTTCCTCTAGATTTTCTAGTTTGTGTGCATAGAGGTGCTCAAAGTAGTATCTAATGTTCTTTTTTATTTCTGTGGTATTGGTTGTAATGTCGCATTTTATCATATCTGATTTTGCTTATTTGGATCCTCTCTTTTTCTTGGTTAATCTAACCAGTGGTTTATCAATTTTGTTTATCTTTTCAAAGAACCAAACTTTCATTCCATTGATCCTTTGTATTGATTTTCTATAATCATGAGATAAATGTAAATTAAAACCACAAGATATCATCTTACACTAGACAGACTGGCCATTAATAAAAAGTAAAAAATTAACAGATGTTGGCGAGGATGCAAAGAAAAGGTAATGTTTATACTTGTTTGTGGGAATGTAAAGTAGTACAGCCTCTATGGAAAGCAGTATGGACATTTCTCAAAGAACCAAAAATAGAACCACTATTTGCCTCAGCAATTTCACTACTGAGTATCTACCTAATGGAAAGTAAGTCAGTTTTTAAAAGGCATCTGTACCTATATATTCATCACAGCACTATTCACAATAGCCAAGTCATGGAAAAACTAAGTGGTGTCCATCAGTGGATGACTGGATAAAGAAAGTGTTTTATATATATATATATATATATATATATATATATATATATATATATATATATATATACTCAGCAAAAACTAAACTTCTGTGATTTGCAGAAACATGGCTATAACTTGAGACCATTATCCTAAGTAAAATAACAGAAATTGAATGTTAAATATTGCATATTCTCACCTATAAGTGGGAATTAATTAAGGGTACACCTGGACATACAGAGTGGAATAATATACACTGGGAACTCCAAAAAAGGTGATGATAGGAAAAGGTGATGATAGGAGGGGGATGAGTGATGAAAAATTACTTATTGGTACAATGTACACTATTTGGTTGACGGGTACATTAAAATCCCAGACTTCACCACCACGCAATGTATCCATGTAACAAAACTACACCTGTATACCTAAATCTATAAACATAAAATAAATAAAAATCATTATTTTTCTTATTTTATTTTATACTGTATATCACATACACTATTCTACCCACCACTAGATAACAATTCTAATGTATCTATTTTCACTCATTGTGATATATATATATATATATATATATATATATATATATATATATTTTTTTTTTTTTTTTTTTTTTTTTAAGACGGAGTCTTGCTCTGTCTAGCAGGCTGGAGTGCAGTGGCGCCACCTCGGCTCAGTGCAAGCTGCACTTCATGGGTTCAGGCCATTCTCCTGCCTCAGCTTCCCGAGTAGGTGGGACTACAGACGCCCGCCATCATGCCTGGCTAATTTTTTTGTATTTTTAGTAGAGACGGGGTCATGGTCTCGATCTCATGACCTCGTGATCCGCCCGCCTCGGCCTCCCAAAGTGCTGGGATTACAGCCGTGAGCCACTGAGCCAGCTATATTTTTAAGATTAATTTATTTGATCATTCACCTCCTGCTCCTAGTTATTGGTGATATATGTTGATTCAATATACTCCACTTTACTTATTTAGCAATTAGCACTATTTGCTGTCAATTTTCTACTGTAATAAAAAATACTTGAGTGAATACGCTTGTATGTGTATATTTAATAATTGTTGTGTTTTGTGATATACACATATAACATTTCCTAGTTTACAGAATATAGGAGAATATGCTTATTTTAAATATTTGCTCCAAAAATGGTAGATGACAGTATTTATTTATTTATTATTTATTTTAGACAGTCTTGCTCTGTCACCCAGGCTGGAGTAGAGTGGCACAATCTCGGCTCACTGCAACCTCCACCTCCCAGGTTCAAGCGAGCCTCATGCCTCAGCCTCCCGAGTAGCTGGGATTACAGGTGCCACCATACCTGGCTAATTTTGGTATTTTTAGTAGAGATGGAGTTTCACCATGTTAGCCAGGCTGGTCTCAAACTCCTGAACTCAAGTGATCTGCCCACCTGGGCTTCCCAAAGTGTTGAAATTACAGGCAAGAGCCACTGCACCCCACCCTATATAGTATTTTGGAATGGTTATGTGGTCTACATTTCCATAAGCAATGCATGAGGATAGGATGCCTTTTGATTTCCATAATATATTCCTCTGAAGAGCACAGGACTTTATGTTTGATGAAGTTTAACTGATCATTTAAAATAAGTGGTTTACTATATTATTTATTTAAAATATATCTTTGCCTACCTAGCATTTCAAACATTATATTTATTTTATTTATTGACATGATATGCTTTTAATTTTTATATTTGAATGTGTGTGAGTGGCTTTTAGGTAAAGGCAAAGGCTTATTTTCTTTCCATAAAATTATATATTTGTTTCAGTACATCCTTGTACTTGTAGTTTTAGGAATTTAGGTAATAAATTATTGGGAATATGTACACAAAGGGGAAACTGTCACTCCAAGAATATACTTTATTTTTCTGAGTAATGCCTGATTATGCTCCAGAATGGTCTACACCACATGTTGATATTGGCTATTTCATATGTTTTTCCTATCTTTTAGATGTAAAGTAATATACACTGATTTTTTAATTTTTCATTTATTGGATAACTTTCTATCATTCTTCTTGTTCATCTATATATTTCATCTGTTAATTACCTGTCCATAAAAGTGAAACAATTTTTTCATATTTGCATATTTGTAGCATTACTTTTAATTCTTTCTACAATAATCTTTTTTATTTATAAACACCTTTTTCCATTCTTTAAACTCCATTAACTTTTTTCATGATTTCCTTGATAGAACATCAATTTTCTTTTCTTTTTCTTTTTCTTTTTCTTTTTTTTTTGGGACGGTGTCTCGCTCTGTCGCCCAGGCTGGAGTGCAGTGGCACGATTTTGGCTCACTGTAAGCTCTGCCTCCTGGGTTCACGCCATTCTCCTGCCTCAGCTTCCCAAGTAGCTGGGACTACAGGCGCCCGCCACCTTGCCCAGCTAGTTTTTTGTATTTTTAGTAGAGCTGGGGTTTCACCGTGTTAGCCAGGATGGTCTGGGTCTCCTGACCTCGTGATCTGCCTGCCTCGGCCTCCCAAAGTGCTGGGATTACAGGTGTGAGCCACCACACCCAGCCAGAACATCAATTTTCACTGCAAGTAGATTAATTTCTTACAATATTATTTAGGCTTTTGAAGTTGTAAGAATAATAGTCAACATTTACCCTGGATAAAAATTTAATATGTTTTTCACATTGCTTCTATTAATTTTATATTTTTTCTTTTCAAATTAATTAGAGGTATATCTTGAATATATTGCAAGTTTGATTCCAGGCTACCACAATAAAACAACTATCACAGTAAAGTAAGTCACACAAATTTTTTGGTTTCCCAGTACATATAAAAGTTATAGACTATCTAATAGTCTATTAGTTGGGCAACAGAATTAGGTGTAAAAATGTACATACATTAATATAAAATACTTTATTACTGGAAAATGCGAACAATCATCTGATCCTTCAGCCAGTTGTATTCTTTTTGCTGGAGAAAGGTTTAGCCCCGATGCTGATAACTGTTGACTAATCAGGGTAGTGCTTGCTGAAAGCTGGGGTGGCTGTGGCAATTTCTTAAAATAAGACCACAATGAAGTTTGCCACTTTAATTTATTCTTTCTTTCATGAAAGATTTCTGTGTAGCATCTGATACTGTTTGAATGGATTTTACCCATAGTACAACTTCTTTCAAAATTAGCATAAATCTTCTCAACCCCTGCCCCTACTTTATTCATCACAAGATATCATATTTTTTTCCTCATTAGTTCAAGTTGTATCATGAAATGGCGGCAATTTAGTTACATCTTCAGAGTCTACTTCTAATTTTAGCTATCTTGCTGCTTCCGGCACATTTGCAGTTCAAAACTTCCTCTACTGAAGTCTTTAACCCTTCAAAGATATCTATGAGAATTAGAATCAATTTCTTCCAAACTCCCATTAAGGCTGATATTTTGACATCTCCCCATGAATCAGAAATGTTCTTAATTGCCTCCAAAGTGGTGGTTCCTTTTTAGAAGGTTTTCAATTTACTTTTACCAGAGCCATTATAGGAATCACTCCTGATGGCAGTTACCTTACAAAATGTATTTTGTAGCCTTAAAAAATGTATTTCTTAAATGACTTGAAACACAAAATTACTCCTTGATCCATGGGCTACAGAATGAATGTTCTGTTAACAGGCATGAAAACAACATTAATCTCCTTGCCCACCTCTATCAGAATTCTTGAGGGACTAGGTGTGTTGTCAATGAACAATAATATTTTGAACAATTTTTTTTTCATGAGAAGCAGGTCTCAACAGTGCACTTCAAATATTTAGTAAACCACGCTACGAACAGATGCGCCTGTCATCTACACTTTGTAGATGATAGATGTCCATTGATAGAACACAGAGTAGATTTAGCATCATTCCTAAGGGCTCTAAAACTTTTGGAATTCAAAATCAGCACTGTTTTCAACTAAAAGTCATCAGCTACATTATTCCCTAACAAGAGAGTCAGCCTGTCCTTTTCAGCTTTGAAGCCAGGCATTGGCTTCTCCTTTGTTGGTATAAAAATTCTAGATAGCATCTTCTTCCAATACAAGTCTGCTTCATCTAGATTGAAAATTTATTGTTATGTATAGCCACAGTAATCAATTATCTTCAGCTAGATCTTCTGGATAACTTACTGCAGCTTCTACATCAGCACTTGCTTCTTCAGCTTATACTTTTATGTTGTTATGGAGCTGGCTTCTTTCCCTTAAACCTTATGAACCAACCTCTGCTAGCTTCAAAGTGTTCTGCAGCTTCCTTCACTCTTGCGAAGAGTGAAGCTGCCTTCAATCACTTGTTTCTAAAAATAGATTATATCAAGCATAGTGGAATTTTTCTGTAATAAAATACTGTAACTTCTATTTTACTAGCAAACTCTTTCTTTCTGGCTATGGCGAAGCAAGTTGTCATGTCAAAGAGGCCCGTATTGTCAATACCTGGGATGGCCTTCACCCAATAGCCAGAAAGAAACTGAGGTTCTCAATCCAAAATTTCATGGAAATTGAGTCCCATCAACAAACACTGAATTAATTTAGAAGCAGATTCTGACCCAGTTGCGTCTTTTATCAGCTTTGTGAGAGTTTGTAGAATAGCCTTTTGTAAGATCCTGAAGCATGTGACCCTGATAAGCCATACTTCTATTTCTGATCCATAAAAATTGTATATAATCAATGCATATGTTTTACCTCTTCTCAAGATTCTAAGTTTTGGGGTAATTCCTTATGTAGCAATAGATGACTAATAAAATGGTTTTTAGTACTTATTAAAATAAGCTAGTCAAGCCCCTCAATTTTTATTGTAGAAGTCTTATGTACATGTGTTGAAGATTAATTCCTAGACACATTAGATTTTGAATGCTATTTTATTTTCATTGTATTTTGAGTTTACAGTAAACCTACATCAAATATTATTGATTTTGTAAATCTAGTATAAAGTGAAAATGCTAAGACTTGATTTTCAAGATGACCCTTTTGTGGGCAAAAAAAGAGAATAATTTCACCTTCTCTTTTCAAAGCCTTCCAATTTAGCTTTGTTTTGTGCTTCCTATTGATATAGCCTTGGCTGGAGGTTTCATTATCATATTTAGCAGCAGCATTAAAAATATGCAATCTTGTCTTGTTATAAGTCATAAAATGAATATAACTTATTCAGTAAGCAAAATAATAGGTGTAAAGGTTTTGTTTGTTTTGTTTTGTACGTGGGGCGTGTTTTGGCATATATGCTATGGAAAGAAATTATGGTAAAAAACTTTTAAGTGGACTACTTTTAACATTAAAAAAAATTTTAAACCATCAATTAATAGGATTTTTCTCTCTTAGTTAATAATGAGCGGGTATGCATTTCATCTATAGCATGCCGCCAGGTAGAACATCTATTACTCCTACCTTTACAACAAGAAGAAATCTGGACAAAGAAAATTAATGGCTTTTCTTTAGTCCAACAGAAAACTATGAACCCAGGGAGGAAAATAACATAACATTTAGACAGAGACAGACAATTGGGAGAAACAACAGGACCCGGGCATTTGATTACCTGTGAAAAATGCCGTGAAACATTATATGAGTCAGTAAGATGATTAAAGCAGAGCTTGGCTTTTAAAAAGTGTAAGTATCGAATAGAATGAAAATGTAAAGGAGGGGGCATAGATGTGAGACGGCCACCACCCACTTTCAGGAAAAATCAATATTTGTTTACAGAACAAGTCACCAAGAATAATGAAAAACTTTCCCTGGGGAAAAGGTTCTGGCTAGGGGGAAAAATAAAGATGCCACTGCCAGTCTCTCCTACTGGGGGAGGGAAGGGAGTAGGGAAAGCCTTATTCTGCAGGAAAAGAACAACAACAACAAAAAAATAGCTTAGACCACTGTTAAAATCCACTTAATCTGGAGGATAAAAACAGGAAAACCAAAGCTCTACCACACAGAGTTAGGCAGAAATATATGCGAGGCACAGCCCTCTATCTAGAGCAAGAATAAAAAAAAAAACCTGTGAATGACACACCATGACCAAGATTCAACGTGTCTGCCTGAGACTAAGTCTTAAAAAGAACATCAGAAAACACTCTCTCATCTTTCTCCCCACCAGCAACCAAGTACTAAATAAAAACATCAGAAGAATACAGTTGGAGGATGCAAAAGATAAATTGTCTCTTAAGAGCAGCACAAATAAGAATATCCATAGCCAAACCAGGACATGTTAATAAGAACCTCTTTACCAAGGGTAATAATAGCAACAGTAAACTTTAAAATTATCCCAGACTTAATTAACACAAACTTATGCACTAAAGAAATAGAATAAAGAAAGTATGCTCAATTACTAGCATAAGAAATATCTGCAGCTGGCCGAGCGTGGTGGCTCACGCCTGTAATCCCAGCACTTTGGGAGGCCAAGGTGGGTGGATCGCAAGGTCAGGAGATCCAGACCATCCTGGCTAACACGGTGAAACCCCGTCTCAACTAAAAATACAAAAATTTAGCCGGGCATGGTGGCGGGCACCTGTAGTCCCAGCTACTAGGGAGGCTGAGGTGGGAGAATGACGTGAACCCAGGAGGCAGAGCTTGCAGTGAGCTGAGATGGCACCACTGCACTCCAGCCTGGGCAACAGTGCAAGACTCCATCTCAAAAAAAAAAAAAAAAAAAAAAAAAAAGAAATATTTACAGCTGTATCTACTGCTCCACAAAACAACACTGAGACCTACAAAAAGGCGAGAAAACCACACTCTAAAGAGACAAAGCAATAATCAAAATCAGACTCAGATGAGACAGTGATGTTGGGACTACAAAACCGTGAATAAAAAAACAAACAAACAAAAAAACTGTGATTAATATTAAAGGCTCTTATTCAAAATGTAAACAATATGCAAGATCCAGTGGATAAATTCAGCAGAAAGATGGAAAGTTAACACAATTCAAAAGGGAGTATGAGAAATTAAAAATGTTAACATACAACAACAAAGAATATCTATGGAAGGTTCATAAGTACACCAAACACAGTGAATGAAATAATTTGTGAATGTAAGTATATGTCAATAGCAGTTGCAGAAACTCAAATGCTATGAAGGAAATGGTGAGTAAAAGAGAACACCATATCAAAGAATTGTGGTAAAATATTGCCTGATCTAACATGTATGTAACTGGAATCTCAGAAACAGAAGAAACAGAAAACAGGGCAGAATAAATGACTGAAAAAATATGACCAAACTTTTTTTTCAAAATTAATGATAGATGCCACACCACAGATAAAAGAACCACATTGAAATAGCAGAATTAATACACTTCAGAATTTTTTTAAAAAACAACATTACGGTATCAGATTCAAACCGCCAAACTCCAAAGACAAAGTGAAGATATTGCAGGCAAGGCAACTGGAGAAAAAGATAGATGATCTACACAAGAACAATAAGAAATATAGCATATTTCTAATCACAAATATTGGAAACAAGAATACAATCAAATAAATATGTAAAGTTCCAAGGGTGGGAGGAAGAAACAAATTAGGATTTTATGCCTAGGAAAATACTCTTCATCAGAGAAATATAAATAAGGATTTCTTCATATAAAATGGGGAAATTCATTTTGAGTAGACCTACAAAAAGTGTTAAGAGAGGTTCATTAGGCTGAAGTAATATTGGATCTAAGCAAATAAATAGAAATCACTGGAAATGGAATAAAAATAATTTAAAAATATTTTAAATTACTCTTAAAAGATAATTATTTGAAGAAGAAAATTTAATCATGTCTTGTGTGTCATAACCTTATCTTTTTATTTTTATTTTTATTTATTATTATCATTATTATTATTATTATTTTTGAGACGGAGTCTCGCTCTGTCGCCCAGGCTGGAGTGCAGTGATGCGATCTCTGCTCACGGCAGGCTCAGCCTCCCAGATTCACCCCATTCTCCTGCCTCAGCCTCCCAAGTAGCTGGGACTACAGGCGCCCACCACCACGCCTGGCTAATATTTTTTTGTATTTTTAGTAGAGCCGGGGTTTCACCGTGTTAGCCAGGATGGTCTAGATCTCCTGACCTCATGATCTGCCCGCCTCGGCCTCCCCAAGTGCTAGGATTACAGGCATGAGCCACCACCCCTGGCCAACCTTATCTTATCTTAAAAAATGTATTACCATAATGTTATTGCAGAAGAAATTAGAGAGAGGAATTGGGAATATTCTGTTAGTTTTTCTACATATAAGGCAGAGTGACACTATTAAAGATAGCGTCAGGTGATTTAAAAATGTGTATTGTAAAGCTTATAATCCTTAAGGAGTTTTAAAAGAGATATGACTAATATCAATAAGGGTATAAAACTACTACTAAAAAGCTTAATCAGAAAAATCAATAAGCAAACAGTGGACTTGAACAATGGTACTGATCAAATGGACCTAACAAATATGTATATATAAATATAAATATATATATATTTTTTTTTATTTTAAAAATTTATTTAGAGACAGAATCTTGCTGTTTCACCCAGGCTGACGTGCAGTGGTGCAATCATAGCTCATTGCAGCCTGGAATGTCTACACTCAAGCAATCCCCCCTCTTCAGCCTCTGAAGTAGCTAGAACTACAGGTATGTGCCACCATGCCCAGCTATTTTTCCCGGTTTTTTTTTTTTTTTTTTTTTTTTTTTGTAGAAACAAGATCTGGTTATGTTGCTCAGGCTGGTCTCAAACTGCTGGCCTCCAGCAATCCTCCCACCTTTACCTTCCAAAGTGCTGAGATTACAGGTGTGAGCCACTGTGCTCAACCCTAATAAACATTCCATCCAACAGAGTATTCCATCCAACAGCAGCAAAGTACATGTTATTCTCAAATGCACACAGAAGATTCTTCAAGATAGAGCACATGATAAGCCATGAAACAAGTCTTAACAAATTTAAGAAGACTGAAATCATATTGTGTATTTTTTAACTGTAATGATATGAAACTAGAAATCTATTATGGGAGGAAAATTGGAAATCTTAAAAATATGAGAAAATTAACTCACTTCATGCCTCTGAGAATAATTACTTATGGAATGCTACAAAAGCAGCTCTAAGGGGAATTTATATGAATAAATACCTACGTTAATTAAAAAAACAGGTAATTAAATTTGTACCTCAGGGAAGTAGAAAAAAAGAAGAAACTGAGCCCATAGTAGAAGCAAGTAAATAAAGATCAGAGCAGAAATGAATGAAGAAAAAAAGCTAGAAAAACAAACAATAGAAGATATTAATAAAAGTGTGATTTGGTTTCTTAGAACATAAAATTGACAAATCTTTAGCTAGACTGACTAAGAAAAAAGAGACAATACTCAAATAAACATAATTATAAATGAACGGGGAGACATTAAAAATGATTTCACAGAAAGACAAAGGATTATGGGCAATACTATGAACAATTATATGCCAACAATTTGGATAACCTAGGAAAAATAGAAAAAATGTTAAACACATACAATCTACCAAGACTAAATCATGAAGAAATACAAATCTGAACAGACCAATTGTATTAGTCTGTTTTCATGCTGCTGATAAAGACATACCCGAAAGTAGGAACAAAAAGAGGTTTAATTGGACTTACACTTCCACATAGCTGGAGAGGGCTCAGAATCATGGTGCGGGGCAAAAGGCACTTCTTAAATGGTGCCAGCAAGAGAAAAATGAGGAAGAAGCAAAAGTGGAAACCCCTGATAAACCCATTAGATCTCATGAAACTTATTCACTATCACGAGAATAGCGTAGGAAAGACTGGCCCTCGTGATTCAACTACCTCCCCCTGGGTCCCTCCCACTACACGAGGGAATTCTGGGAGATAAAATTCAAGTTGAGATTTGGATGGGGACACAGCCAAACCATATCACCAATAATGAGAAAGAAAATTAAATCACTAATTAAAAAGACCAGTACCTGATGGCTTCATTGGTTAATTACCACAACCCAACCATTTAAGAAAGAGTTAATGCCAATCCTTCTGAAATTCTTCCAAAACAGTGAAGAAGAAGAAACACATTCAAACTTAGTTTACAAGATGAGAGTTACCATGATATCAAAGCTAGGCAAGGACACTACAAGAAAAAAATAAGTTACAGGCCAATATGAACATAGGTACAAAAATCCTTAACAAAATAGTAACAAATTATATTCAACTTCACATTAAAAGAATAATACACATAATCAAGGGGGATTTATCCCTGAGGTACAAGGATGATTTGCCATAAATAAATTAATATGATATATCATAATAACAGAATACAGAATAAAAATCATATAATCATTTCAATAGATGATAAAACAGTATTAGACAAAATTCACCATTCTCTCATCATTAAAAACTCAACAATTTAGGTATAAAAGAAATGTACACCAACATAACAAACATTATATATCACAAGCCCATATGTAACATTGCACTCAATAGTGAAAAAGCTGAAAGCTTTTCCTCTAAGATCAGAAAAAATGGCACGTCTGGATGCAGTGGCTCACGCCTGTAATGCCAGCACTTTGGGAGGCCAAGGCAGGTGGATCACGAGGTCAAGAGATCGAGACCATCCTTGCCAACATGGTGAAATGTCATCTCTACTAAAAATAAAAAAGTTAGCTGGGCGGGGTGACATGTGCCTGTAGTCCCAGCTACTCGGGAGGCTGAGGCAAGAGAATAGCTTAAACCCAGGAGGCAGAGGTTGCAGTGAGCTAAGATCCCACCACTGCACTCCAGCCAGGTAACAGAGTGAGAATTTGTCTTAAAAAAAAAAAGGTAAGAGTGCCCATTGTCAGTACTTGTAATCAACAGAGTACTGAAAGTTTTAGCTATGCAATTAAGTTAAACAAATTTAAAACTTCCAAATAGGCTAGGAATAAGTAAAATTATCTTTTTTTGCAAATGACAAGTTTAGTGAAGTTGCACTAGGCAAAATAAGCATACAAAAATAAGTAGCTCTTCTATGTACTAAGAAACTTTTAAGAAATTTAAAATACAATCTTATTTATAATAGAATCAATAAAATAAAATACTTAGGGATAAATTTAACCAATGAGAGAAAGATCTGTATGCTAAAAACCATAAAACATTTCATTAAAGAAACTGCCAAAGAAATAAATAAATTTATACTTACGGCTCAGAAGAAATAATATTGTAAAAATGTCTATATTACCCAAAGGGAACTACATATTCAGGGTAACCCTCACCAAAAATTCCTATGGCACTTTTGACACAAATGCAAAAAGCAGTTCTAATATTCATATTAAACCACAAAGGACCCCAAATACCCAAAATATTTTTGAACAACAACTACAAAAACAAAGCTGGGGCATCACACTATTTTCTTTCAAACTATACTACAAAGCTATCATAATCAAAACTGCATAGTCTTGGCATAAGAACAGAAATACAGACCAATGAAACAGTATAGAGTGCCCAGAAATAATTTCACATATGTATGGTCAACTGATATTTAAATAAAATGCTAAAAACACATGAGGAAAAGGCATTCTCTTTATTAAATCTTTTTTTGCAAACTGGATATCCTCATGCAGAAGAATGAAATCAAACCCTTATCTCAGACCATTTACAAAATCAACTGAAAGTGGATTAAAGACTTGAATGTAAGACCTGAAACTGTAAAACTGCTAGAAGAAAACAAAGAAAAAAAGTTTATTGACATTAGTCTGAGCAATAATTTTTAAGGCTTACGACTCCAAAAGCATAAACCTCCAAAGCAAAAAATATATACAAATGGGATTATACAAACTAGCAAGCTTCTGTATAGCAAAATAAACAACAGAGTGAAGAGACAACCTATGTAATAAGAGAAAATATTTGCAGCTGTACATCTGATATGGGGTTTATATCTAAATTATATAAGGAGCTCACACAACTAAATAGCAAGAAGACAAATAGCCTGATTGAAAATGGGTAAAGAACCTGAATAGATATTTTCCACAGAAGACATACAAATGACTAAAAGGTATTAAGAAAACATGCTCAAAATCACTAACCATCAGGGAAATGCAAATCAAAAGCATGAAAAGGTATTACCTGACACTTGTTAGAATAACTATTATCAAAAGAACAAAAGACAATGAGTGTTGGTGAGGATGTAGAGACTAAAGAACCATTGTGCACTGCTGATGGGAATGTAAATTAGTACAGGCATCTGTATATCCACCTCAAAAAATTAGAAATAGAACTACTACATGACTTAGCTGTCCCACTTCTGGATATATATTCAAAGGAAAGGAAATCAATGTGTTGAAAAGAACTCCCAAGTTTACTGCAGCACTAATCACAATAGCCAAAATATGAAATTAACATAAGTGGCCACTGAGGGATAAAGGAAATGTGATATACATATTAAGTGGAATAATATTCAGCATTAAAAAAAACTGTCATTTGCAAAAACATTAATTGAAGTTGCATAACATTGAGTTAAATAGCCAGGCCTAAAAAGACAAATTCTGCACTTGTATGCTAAATCTAAAAAACCTGAACTCACAGAAACAGAGAGTATAATGGCAGTTACCAGGAGCTGTAGTTTGGGGCAGGGAAGGGAGATGACAGAGGAAATAGGAAGTTGGTGTGAAAATAAAGCTCAATCAAACTTACAGAAGTTAGAAAATCATGGGGGAAAAATGACTAAAGAAATATGAAAACCTCCAGGAAAATGGGTCTTAACATGACTAATCACTTAAAATGTCAATAAACTAAACACTCCAGTTAAAAGAGTGTCAGATTAGATTAAAAAGAAAATATCTTATTCTTTTCCATCTACAATAAACTCACTTTTATATAAATAGATTGTTGAAAATAAAAAGAGGGAGAAGTATATACTACATAAACACTGACTAAAAAAAGCTGGACAACCTCTGTTAATTTCGGACAAAGTAAACTTTAGAAAAAAAAATTATTAGACATAAAAATGTACCTTATTCGTAGATACTGGAGGTAAGGACTGCAAAATAAAACCTCCTGGAATATACAAATCATTTACAGAAAAATAAATGTTATAAGAAAGATGCTAACTGATGTTATATAGTGTATATAATAAAAATATGTGTAGGCATATTTAGACATTTTTGTCTTTTTACAATAATATAAATAT
The DNA here is from genome assembly GCF_000001405.40 of Homo sapiens. Lineage (NCBI taxonomy): Eukaryota > Metazoa > Chordata > Mammalia > Primates > Hominidae > Homo > Homo sapiens. The sequence continues at coordinate 25,847,245 of NC_000005.10, forward strand.
GCTAAGTATAAAGTTACTGATTCTAAGACCTAGATATTTTATATGTGAGTCCAAATAAAGCCACAATTATGAATCCCGAATTCACATGAATTGGATAAACATTATATATTGAAAAACAGTGGTTTTATATGTATGTATAAAATATATACGTATGTGTACATGTATACATAATGTACATAAATTATGTATTATACATAACACAATAAATATGTTGTTATATGTATTATATATTATATTATTACATATATATGTATATTACATCACCTATGTGTAACATATAACCTATATCATATATGTATATATTACATATATTTACATGTATTATATAATATGTATTTAACATATCATATGTATTGACATGTTATATATAATATGTACACATATACATATGATATATGTATATTAAATTACTTGACATGCTCCAAAAAGCCATGTAAATATATTGAGTAAAGGATTTAGATCTTTTTAATTGTGAGGTAAATAATGCTGATGGAAAATGAGTCTGGGCAGAATGTTATATATTCATTAAATGTTGGATAGCATTATGGAATCATGATTTTAGGTGGAGTAAATACTAAGAGAAATGTTTTAGTTTACTTTGTCAAATCTACTGATGCAAGTTCGTTTTTCCCCCAACATTTTTATGATTTCTTTTTCATTCATTTCACATAGCTAAATTATTGTTTATCATTCCATTGTAGATTCTATTGTAGACTTTGATGAGAGGAAATATCATGCTAATTTATATTTAATGAATATAGTTTAATTCGGCCTATGAGTTCATTTCAAAACACCAGAGGTGAAAGTTCTTGATTTTCTGACCTATTTCCCTTGAGAGGTTTATTTCCTCCATTATAATATAAACTGATGGACTGGATGTTGATTTTTACAGCCCCTGCTCTATGAATTGTACCTGGAGTGATAGAAAGCTACAGTTTGGCAACTAAGTTTCTGTCCTTCTTTGCTTTCCTCAGGTTTCATCTACTGAGGTTTAGCTGGATAGAGTTAGGATTGCATCCTAACAAATTTTTACTTTTTGTCTGTTTCCCTGTGAACCAGCTACATTAATGAAATATAGATTAGAATGTAGTGCAAACATGAAATGTGAATGATCTGGTCTTAAGCACTTTCCTTTTCTGTCAGTTTTTTTTTTGTTATTTTAAGCATTAACAGAAACATTGTTTTCCAAGATACTATCAATCTTCACTGAGATTCACAGGGCAGAGACAGTTGAGGACCTCATTGTATATCAACTCTTTTAATTGTATTGCTAGGGCTTTGAAATTTATGGTGAGGATTATGCTACTTGCTATCATGCCTGTAACTCAGAAATTATTAGTGAGACTTTTAAAATGTTCCTCACTTAATGAAAGGTTTGAAGTGTGAAAGGTGAAAAATAAGTGCTAACCTAGAATTCTATATCAAGTGAAAATATTAAGCAAAACAAATTTAACTAAAAATATAAAGGCTAGAATGAGTGACTCTAAAATGTAGAAAATGATGTAAGACACCCAAATAGTACAACCACTTGAAAAAATGTTTGGCAATTAGACTTCTAAGTATTTATTTAAGATAAATAAATACTGTTACAAAAGCCTTTACATACAACATAACTGCCAAAATTAGGAAAGATGCCCAATGTTCAACAACACAGTAAATAAATAAAGTATAATATTTTACACACTAAGTTACTACACAGCAAGCTGTGAAAGGCACCATTTTTCTCAAATTAGAAAAACAAAAACAAACAAAAAATAATTAAAAAAATAATACTTCATAGACCAGAAACCTTTTATGTGTGTATCATTTGTTTTTATATTTCTCAGAGCCTGTAGAAGTAAGCTCACTATATTCTCTACTCTGGCATGACCCACTGTTTTGAGAAGGAATTTATATTTCAGCCTGAAAGCAAAGAAGTCAAAGAACAGGATTGTGAGGAGGTGCTGTCAGATTGACAAATGATGGTCTTAGAGACCCGAGATGGGACTGGGAGAAGAAAATAGACCCAGGGTTGCTTAAGGGACATTGTGGCAGTAAACAGAAAGACTACGATGAAAGAGAAAAGCAAAGTTAAAAACAAAAACAGGACATTAAAAACAAACAAAGAAATGTACATAAGTATCTAGGAACTGACCTATTTTCAATATTTACTTTTTTTTTTTTTTTTTTTGAGACAGGATTTCACTCTGTCACCCAGGCTAGAGTGCAGTGTGTGAACACAGCTCACTGCAGCCTCAAACTCTTGACCTCAGGCAACAGTCTCACCTCAGCCTTCTGAGTAACTGGGATTACAGGCATGAGCAGTAGCCTGGTATATTTGTATACCGTATTAGACTGTTTGGGCTGTCACAACAGACTACCACAGACTGAGTGGGTTAAACAAGAGAAATTGATTTCTCAATTTCTGAAGGCCAGGGAGTTTGATATCAAGGTGTCAATCCTATTCCTGGTGAGGGGTCTCTTCCAGGCTTGCAGAGAGACTTTCACACTGTGTCCTTACATGATAGAGGAAAAAAGCTCTGGTGATCCTTCTTCTTAAAAGAGTCTCCCCCCAATGAACTCATTTAACCTTTTCACCTTCTACAGGCTTTATCTCCTAATTATAGTCATATAGGGTGTCGGGGCTTCAACATATGAAATTGGGTGAGACACAATTTAGTTGATAACATATATAACATTTTGAAAATTGTCAGACATAAAATGGAGGCACTTTTGTCAGATCCTGGCAAAATGGAGTTAGGTGGCCATGAAGGGAGGGTTCTCATGCACCTATGCCAGGTAACAAGGACTATCACAAAAGACTACAAGAAACGTAGCCTCGCACAAAGGCCACCTCAACCTCACACAAAAAATCTTTATGTGAGGACATCCACCCAGGAACTCCCTGTCCATCCTGCAACTAATGCCCCTCATTTTATTGATTCTTGTCAAGGATAATTGTTTCCAAACAATTTATGTAATCCTCCTCATTGTTCTTTTTATTTATTTGTTTATTTTTTTGAGACGGGGTCTTGCTCTGTTGCCTAGGTTAGAGTGCAGTGGTGTGATCTTGGCTCACTGCAACCTCTGCCTCCCAGGTTCGAGTGATTCTCTTGCCTCAGTCTTCCAAGTAGCTGGGATTACCAGCACGTGTCACCATGTCCGGCATTTTTTTTTTTTGTATTTTTAGTAGAAATGGGGTTTCTGTGTTGGCCAGGCTGGTCTTGAACTCCTGACCTCAGGTGATCTGCCTGCCTCGGCCTCCCAAAGTGCTGGGATTACAGGTGTGAGCCACCGTGCCCAACCTCCTCATTGTTAAAGACCCTTGTCTCTCTTTACTTCTCTGAATATGCCCATGCATATTCCCATTGTAATACTCATTCTCAATAAATGTATTTTATTTGGCGATTGTTTCTCTGTCTGTTATTTAGGTCAAAATAATCTGATGTCAAGAAGTAGGGTGGTAGCACACTTGCCTCAGACGGATCAGCAGCCTATGGGATAGCGCATGGTGCTGACTGAGCCCTTTGTATCCTTTGCTCCTGTGAGTCACCTTTTCTGCCCTGGTGAATCCCCTTCTGGAATTCTAAAAATTCTTTGTTTTGATTTTACTCGAGATGTCGGCTTTGTTATAAGGCCACCTTTATTAAAGGTCTTTGCATACTTCTTGGTACTATAAAAGGCTTATGTCTTTTCTGGGCAAGCCCTTTCTTGTATGAGAACAGCATCTTCTTGGAGAGGTTTATACACAACTTACATTCTGTCTGTGAGCTATGTATTTTCTGGTGAATATATTTTCATTTTTTGTTTTTTGCCTGTATTGCTTAATATTTTGCTTTGTCTCCATATCCAGCTTAACATTATTGTGAGTACTGTTATTTTGGTTTCATTTTGGTTTGGTTACAGGCATCTGCAAATGCTTTCGCTCTTTTATCTTTCCCTGCTTGTTTCTGAACATCTTCCAAGAGCAAAAAAGTAACATTCTAAACAGCAGGCATGGTATGGCCAATTAAAAGCTACTAGGGCATTCACCACCATCTATGAGAAAATCTTGTCACTGAAGAAAGTCCCCTGTGGTAAGATAAATGCCACATACAGGCAAGATCACCAAATGGGATAGTTCCCTTGACCTCTTCATGGAACTCGTGAAGCAGGTGGCTCATTTACTCAGCACACAGCTCTCAACCCCTCTTGGGAGGGGGAGCATGCAGGTAAGCGAGTGCAGCAACCGGGATGAGTGCTTCTGGGCACTGGCACGAATAGGACTCTATGCAGCCCCGTGGCAGTAGGGGGATAACCATGATCCCCAGAGCCCCAGAGTGCATGTGTTACAGTGTGCCCTTTCAGCTTTGCCATCCACGGATGGCTTCAGTGTTTAACAGCTCAGTGTGACAGCCCTCGGTATCCAGAGCTCTTGACTGGTGTCCAGGAAGGATCAGGTCGCACGAATGAATTGAAGATGATATATGCAGAGAATTTATTGCAGATGAAAGTCGCTCTCAGCAGTATGGGCAGCTGAAAAGGGGAAGGAATGAGAAAGTGATCTTCACCTGGAGTTTAGCCATCCCCGGCTGAACTTTTCTCCAAAGTCCCACCGTCAAACCATCCCTCTGAAGTCAAGTTGCTCCTCCCCCACGTGCAGCTGCGTCTTCTCTCCTTCGCTGCTCTGCCACTCTGCTGGTGGGGCCTGGAGTTTTTCTGAGTACAGGATGAGGGGAGGTACAGGCCAGGGTGGTTTTGGAGAAGGCAACAATCTGGCAAAAAAAAACCAGGGATGCATGTTCTCATTTTGTGCCGCAGGTCCAGGCTTTAGTGTGTGGCCCTTTCCAGGGACCACCCTCTTCTACCCAGTATTTCCCTGCCTCCTGTTCATATCACTAGGGCATCTGCCAGTCTTAAGAAAATATATGTGCTACTAGAAAAACCTTGGTCACAGGGTGGACAACTAGGGCATTGGCCATTCACCAAGTACAAAAGGAAGTATCCTGTGCTAGGCACACTGTAAAACAAAACACCAGTCGAAATGGCTGATGTTCCCGATAGGGTTTATATATGTTCTTCTTTGTTTCTTTTTTTCTCTGAAGACATCAATAAGATATAAAATGGGATTCACAAAATTCTAAGGCATGGCTAAAGCTCTGGAATGCCAGCCTGCTGCACATTAAAAGTTTAAGGCCCATTCTCAAGCATATTTTTAAACTGATAGGCAAATTACACCAAGGATAATTTATGGCCATTATGGGAAATAGTTGAACTCCCTAAGCATGATTTTCTTATAAAACTGCAACTACATAGTTAAAAGTCCGAATATTTTAACACCTAAAAGCTTCTAAACTTTCAATTTCTTTTTTTTCCTCTACCTACTTTGAAATTCTGACTTTTCTTCTCGTATTAATATATAACTCATGGCTGAAATTGTTGTTATGATACAAATTGAAAGATTGATAGTCTAAAAAAAAGAACCTGATAAGTGCTTATAAAAATTAGAATCTCAGATCAAACAAGTTTGCTTATTAACCACTCATGCCTTGCAAAAATCTTGAGTACAGAGGTATAATAAAATGTGTCTCTGTCCAGCATAGAAATTTCCTTGTCTGCCACACATAGGCCAAAGAAAAAGCCAAAAACACTTCAAATAATCCTTTGAAAATTATTTTAAAGTGTGTTCCCCACCTGGACTGATTAGTCAAGCAACCAGACCAGCAAACAAAACCAAGATAAATGTATTAATAAATTCACGGTCACCTGAAGGTTTGTTTTTCCAGTGAGTCCTAGCGAAAATGTAAACATCTGAGAAACTAACCCATAAAATCACTTAAAACTATAAAACATGGTAAAATAAGGCTTTTAAAAAATCAAACTGAAATGGGAAAAGTTCCCTTGTCCTCCTTGCAGGGCATTTGATGGGGGTGTGGCTCCCTTCTTCAGTGTCCCGCTGCTTAAACGTCTAGGGGAGCATACGGACGGACGGGCAGGCTACAGGGCTCTGACCCCACAGCAGTGTCTAAGGGTGAATATTTGCAGTTGAAGCCCCAGTGGGCGTGTGTTATACGGTGCTCTTTTTTTTTAGTTTAGCCCTCCATAAGTGGCTTGTGTTAATCAGCTTCATCAGACCTCTGCCTTATCGCAAGGACAGAGGGCTTTGTATATCCTGGGATTCTTGCCTTGGTGTACCAGAAGAATCGGATCACACGTGGGCTGAAAAAATGAGTGCAAGGTTTTATTGAGTGGAAGTAGTTCTCAGCAAATGGGGGAGCCAGAAGGGAGATGGGTTTCCCCTGAAGTCTGGCCACTCAGCAGCCCAAGCTCTCCTCCAACTGCCCTGGCCAAACTTCACGTTGTTCTGCTGGTTGGTGGCCTGCTGGTGTGCAGCTGTCAGCTGATGTGCTACTCTCCACATCCAGCCACCTGTATGTTCCTCTGCTGATGTGCTCCTCTCGATGTCCAGCTGCCTGTGTGTCTGCCTGCTAGGGTCCTGGGGATTTTATGGGCACAGGATAGGGCATGGCAGGCCAAGGTTGTCTTTGGAAATGCAGCATTTGGGCAGGAAAACAAAAATGCCTGTCCTCACCTAGGTCCCTGGGCACAGGCCAGGAGGTGGATCCCTAAGCTAGGGACCATGCCCTTCCTCCCTTCCATATCATTTAAAAGGACCATGCTCTTCCCTTCCCAGCACTTCCCTTCCATATCAAAACTGCTATGAAAACTATTTTACCCAAATATAGAGTCTACAGCCTCCATAAAATTAACTCTCAAGGGCAAATGAAAACTAAGAGTTTTCTGTTATTGTTCATCTGTATGTTTTTATGGCTTCGTGTTGAAATATCATGTGTATATAATATTTAATTTACATAGAGCTCTATTTAATTGGCTAGAAAAAATAAGTTCTTAAATCAAGTAATTTTTCAAAAATGTAGTAAGTAATCTAAGTGTTTTTAAGTTCACATGACTTGGGTGAATCTTTGGTAGATAAACTGATGTTAAAAAAATTGTTGGTTAAATAAAAATAGAAATGTCTTCGGAATTGTCTGCCTATATTTTTGCCTTTGCTTAATCATCAGACTGTTTTTTTTTCTCTCCTAGATGTTTGACAGTCATAAAACTATAAATCTAGTCTCCAAAGAAAAATGGTCTTTGTGTAATTTTTTAATGAATGAAACTAGTTTAATATTTATATAATCTTTTAAAAGCTACATCATCTAAGTAATTGGAAAAACACCTATATATTTAACTTTTAAGTACTTAGGTGAATATGTGATGATCAAATACTCTAAAAATGGTTGACAGAAAAATAATTGGAGATGACAGGTTGGTCTCTGTTTTCATAAGTAATCTGGGTATAAATGTTAAAAATAAATAAATTAGGTAAGTGTAAATGAGATCAATGTTTACAAATGAACTTTTGTTGTAATTTGAAGTCTTAAAGTCATATTATGTTAAATGAAGTGATAGATACTCATTAATCTCTGGGTCATTTCCAAATAAGACAAAATATGGAAGCATTAATTACTTAACATAGGTTCTAATTTATTTACTTTTGGCTTTTTGAATTTTATAAGAAGGTAGTTGATATTTGGGTTTGCTAATAAATGTGTCCTATTCCACATTGAAAGATTGTTTTATGAGACAATGTATGTTTCTCTAAATTATAAGATGTATATTCAGAAGCTGTTGGTGCATGACAAGCAATACAAAATTGCTTACTTCCTAGGTTTTTCACTAAAAATTAAAGTTAGTAAAGGGTAAACATTTTACTTAAATTGTGCAATTCTATCTGCAAAGTATATAAGAAAGATGTGCTTTTTCTGAGATACAATTATTTTAAAATAATAAGTTTTGTTAAAAATGAATATTTTGTCACATTTAAGATTATTTGAAGGTTATTTCAAAATATGGATTCAAGAAGAAAATAAAAACAGGACAGAAACCAATGACTAGAAGAGAGATGCAAAGAAATTTATTAGTATGTGGATATACACATTTTTGGTAAGAAAGTTTATAAAATAATTTTATTTAAGAAATAATCTTGTATGGTCAAAATGGTAAAGAAAAAAGGAGAGTAAATTTTTGTTCTAAGGTAGAATGAAAAACAATTGGTTATTTTGATATGAAAAAGAAGAAAGTGTAGGACAGAACTGAATGCTTTAGCAAGTTATAAAATGTTTGAGATAATTGCAAAAGGTTTATAAAAGATGACTCTTATGAAAGGAATGTTGTGCACAATGAAGTTGACTGAAATTAAAAACTAGAAGCAAATTGTATAAAACTAGTTCTAAAAATTAAGAATTAATTCACTGATGGATAACCAAATCTACTTCTCTATGTTTAAAGAAAGAAGGCTTTCTTTAGGTATTTCTATGTTCTTGGTAAAAATAAAAATAAATTGCAAAAGGCTTTGATTTTTTAATTATGAATTTTTCTATGAATGTTTATCTTCTGAACTGCAGACTTTTTGATTTTGACAGGTTTCATTTAATTTCTCAAGTTTTAGGTTAAAAATAGTAATTTTATTTCTCAAAATAGTTTTTCTTTTCCAGTTTTTCACATTCATATCTCAGAATTTCAACCTGTGTTGTATGTCACTGCACATGATTTGCAGGTCATGCATTATTGCTTTTAGCTCTTCCTTCTTATTTCCTGGGGACATTCTGACTCTGCTGTTGTTACCCAATGCTGAAAATGTTTGTCTGGAAAGCTCAGGGTAGCAATCAGTATACCATGACTTTGTACTCTTGGCTTTTTTGATGTGTCTAAATTATTCTGTGTGATCAGGAAATTCCATGTGCTTTTATTTTTCTGAAAGCCATATATTCTCCTTCTCAAGGTACTGGTTCTCTTATTTACATCTTCTATAATAATATTACTTACACTCAACGTTGGGTTAACACTTTCCTAGTATCCAATTGAATTCAAGTACTTTATCATCAGGTTTGACTTTCAGATTCTCTAAATGGGCTTCCTATTAAAAAGCAATCACACTGCTATTCATTCCTTTTTAGAAAGTTTGGCCTAGAAAAACAAATACATCTTATCAAAATAATTTCCTGTATCTTGTTGTTTTGTATTTTTTTTTAAATGAAGGTCTCTAATTACTTAGGAAAAGTGAACCCTTAAAGCATTAAGTTTTTATATCTATGTAAATCTCAGTATTTGCTTTCAAAATCTTTTGTCACTTTGGTTAAGTGAATGACAATTATTTTACAATGATAAATGATTCTGTCTTAATTAAAAACCATTTGACATCCTTGGCAGGTTTTCTCAGTATAAGAGTTCTAAATTAAGTCTTTTTGACTTCAGATTTACTTTTGCATTTTCCACATGTGCCCAGGAGAGCATCAAAGAATGTATCTGTCATCTTGTAGAGATGCTAAACTAGTTAGGTTTGTTTGATGTATTAAATTGTATAGGAAATACTGTCAAATAATAAAATGATGCCAGATCATTTTATTACTTGACAATAATAAATTATTGTCAAATAATAATTTATTATTTTTAATATCATGTTATATTTGTATGTATGTGTTATTCCTATGAATGTTCCAAAGATTATGTGAAATTTATAAAAATCTGAGGTCATGGTAAGATGCTGTCAGGTATGATTCTGGTTGTCATCTTAAAATGCTTTATACAATAGGAATAAATAAATTTCTGTGTCAATTTTTCATTATGATAAACTCTCATAATATTTTTAACCGGGTCTATTCTAAGTTTTTGTCATCTATGGTTATTATTTTAATTTTTCTCTATACACATCTGCAATCAGATTCATGGAAAAGACTAATAAGTACTTTCAAATATTTCTGATAACTTTAAAATCATTGGATAAAGAAAAATATGTAGAAATCTAATTAAGAAACTGATAAATTCATGTAACTTCTGAGATCAAGCAGAACAAGAATTAATTATGTAAATGAGAACAGGCATTTCTGGTTTTGCCCCAAATATTGCCCCCATCTGCCCCCATATGAACCCTAAATCCCAAGCTCCAGAGCAGACCAGCAGACCAGCAGACCAGCAGACCAAAGACAGTGGAATGACACAGCAGAGAAAGAGAGAGGAGGGACATCCAGATGCTGAGGAAAGTTTGGCTGGAGGGGTTGGAGAAGAGTCCAGCCACTGGGTGGCCTGACTCCAGGGTGTTCTAAATAAAGTTTCAGTGCCGCAAAAGAAACAGCACTCGAATATAAAATTTTCTTTTTAATTCTCAGCAAGACAATGTACTTTTATAGAAGGGTGCGCCCTTACAGATGGAGCAATGGTGAGTGCACACTTGGACAAGGGAGAGGAAGGGGTTCTTATCTCTGACGCAGGTGGCCCCTGCTGCTATGTCCTTCCCATATTGGCTAGGGTTAGACCGCACAGGCTAAACTGATTCTGATTGGCTAATTTAAAGAGAGTGACGGGGTGAGTTGTTTGGCTGGAAAAATGGTTATGCAGGGTGGAAAATGAGTCAGGGAGGAGCAGGTAGCAGGTAATCGGAATGAGTCAGGGTGGAGCAGGTGATTGAAATGAGTCAGGGTGGAGCAGGTAATCAGAAAAGGTTGCTTTATGAGGAAGTTAAGTTTAAAAGTAGAAGGCAAAGTATTGAACATATTGATATATTGATTCTTTGAAAATAAATCTAGAACAAATATCTAACAAGGCGAAGATCACCTTCCTTCCCACTCCATCCCCTCTTCTGGCTCTCCATTCATCTTGCTGAGAGCCACCTCCACCACTCAATAATAACCGTGCACTTTTCTGTTGAGCCATTGTGTGATCTGATTCTTCCATTACACCAGGCAAGAGCTCAGGATACAGAAGGCTGTCACATTGGCCCTCTGCCCTTGTGATAAGGCAGAGGGGCCATTGAGCTGATTAACACTCAAGCCATCTGCAGACAGCAAAGCTGAAAGAGTTTTGTAACACTGGGGTTGCAGGCACCCCCTCCTAGACACCACTGCGAGGCCGAGAACACAAAGCACTCACCCCAGTCTCTGCACCTGTCCGTCTGCATGCGCCCCCTAGGGGTTTGAGCTGCAGGGTGACCAAACAGAGGAGCCACACCTGTTGCACGTCCTGTGAGGGGAATCAGGAGACTCTCCCGTTTCAATTACATGAGATTAAATATCTGATAAAATAACCTTTTTATGACTATTTTTTGAAACATTGTTGTTCTTTCCTTAAATAATCTGTTTCCCAGATTTAAAGAAACATTCTTTTTAAGCAATCTATAGTTTGCAGCAATATAATAAAGTATAATTTTGTGAACAAAAGTGCAAACATTTATTTTTCCTTCCTAATTGATCCCTCCAAAATTCAGAAATGATTAATGAGTATTCTTATTTTTATGTTAATATGGTTCTTGGCATAGGTTCGATGAGAATCTGCTCTCTTCATAGCAGAATACAATTGAAAACATTAATTGTATGAGCCAAGGTTTGACTGGGATGTCATATTTCAAATGTTTAGAGGTACTGTAGAGAAAGCCTGAGGTCTGCCTTGGCTTGGCCTTCTAGCCTTGAGAGGTTTTGAAATGTTTAATCTCAGATTACTATGTGGCCAATCGCTGTTCTTGCTAAACTTATGAAAATGATTAGGCCAAATTTCGCAAAACCAATTATACAAACAAATTAGCCTTACTCTGTTCATCTTTGTTAGAATTCAGGGTTGCTGCGGGGAAAAACAATAATTTTTTTTTCTTTTTTTTTTTTTTTTTTTTTTTTTTTTTTTGAGACGGAGCCTAACTCTGTCACCCAGGCTGGAGCACAGTGGCACGATCTCCACTCGCTGCAAGCTCCGCCTCCCGGATTCACGCCATTCTCCTGTCTCAGCCTCCGGAGTAGCTGGGACTACAGGTACCCGCCACCACGCCTGGCTAATTTTTTTTGTATTTTTAGTAGAGACGGGGTTTCACCGTGTTACCCAGGATGGTCTCGATCTCCTGACCTCGTGATCCTTCCACCTAGGCCTCCCAAAGTGCTGGGATTACAGGCGTAAGCCACCGCACCCGGCCAAAGCATAAATTTTTAAAGAAAAACTGTAATGTATCTCTTATTAGACTGCAGCCTTGTGCATAGCTTTCAAGTTATTTTTATTTATCTACAAACTGGACTAGAACATAAATTCTTGTAGCTCCCTCCAATCATTTTTTTTTCCCACATGGACTTACTAAAAATGGGAAGTGCTCTTTTTAAAACCCTATGAGCTGAAGCTAGACAACTAAGTATAAATTTCAAGGGACAAGCCTCATGCATGATGTGTGGCCTACAGAAAGTTCATAAAACTGCCCACTACCAATCCCTAAAGAACTTCAAACTACAAACCAGAACAAGACATTGGTTACTTCATGCTGTGGACAGCATTTCCCAAGACAACAGAACAAAACAACACATCATAGTAAGATACTTGCCCCTCTTAAGTTTTCCTTGCTTATGTGTACTCTTTCTTTTTAACTTGGCAGCATAATGGTGTCATTAAAATATTATAATCAGAAACCTCTGTGGGTAATGACAAAATTTTATATCATATCAAACCTAGATCTTTACATGATCTAAGAGATCCTTTAGTTTTTTAGTCCATCTAGTGGATAACTTTGACAACACCCTAATACAACATTTTATTCAAATTGTTCTAGTGATCCATTTTATTACATGCTGTGTTTTGATTTAATCTAATACTGGGATGTCAAATAATGAAATGATTATCCAAACTACATAAAATAAAACAAGCCACATGTTTACAACAGATCTTACCTAGTTTCCCTTGATACTTTGATTTATTTAGTTGGTTGCCTTTAAGCCTGGATTCATGGCTTAAAACCCTTATGTAAGGGATTATCATATTATTATAAATTTCATTTTTTTTTTTAACTTTCTTACAGGTTAACTGTCAAATTTCTGCAGAAATATGGCCCCTAACAGAATAATGCTGGTCCAGCACTTTCAGATTCTATCACTGTCTACAGACAGAACAAATTAAATTTAGTGATGGATTTCAGGTAGATTTAACCTGAGAGTTAATCTCTGTAATAGTCTGTTCTCACACTGCTAATACATACCTGAGAATGGGTAATTTATAAAGGAAGGAAGTTTAATTGACTCATAGTTCCACATGGCTGAGGAGGCCTCACAATCGTGGCTGAAGGCGAATGAGGAGCAAAGTCACATCTTATGTGATGGCAGGCACAAGAGCTTGTGTAGGAGAACTCTCCATTATAAAACCATCAGATCTACTGAGACTTACTCACTATCACAAAAACAGCATAGGAAAGACCCACTCCCATGATTCAATTACCTTCCATGACACATGGGATTTATAGGAGCTACAATTCAAGATGAGATTTGAGTGGAGACACAGCCAAACCATATAATTATGCTCCTGGCCCCTCCCAAATATCATGTCTTCAAATTTCAAAACCAATCACGTATTCCCAACAGTTCCCCCACTGTCTTAACTCATTTCAGCATTAACTCAAAAGTCTACAGTCCAAAATTTCATCCAAGGCAAGGCAAGTCCCTTCCACCTGTGAGCCTGTAAAATCAAAAGCAAGTTAGTTACTTCCTAGATGCAATGGGGATACAGGCATTGGATAAAACAGCCATTCCAAATGGGAGAAATTGGCCAAAATGAAGAGGCTACAGGTCCCATGCAAGTCCAAAATCTAGCAGGGCAGTCAAATCTTAAAGTTCCAAAATGATCTCCTTTGACTCCATGTCTCACACCTGGGTCATGCTGATGCAAGATGTGGGTTCCCATGGTCTTGGGCAGCTCTGCCCCTGTGGCTTTACAGGGTACAGCCTCTTTCCTGGCTGCTTTCATGGGCTGGTGTTGAGTATCTACAGCTTTTCCAAGTGCACAGGGCAAGCTGTTGGTGGATCTACCATTCTGGGGTCTGAAGGACAGTGGTCCTCTTCTTACTGTTCCACTAGGCAGTGCCCCAGTGAGGACTGTGTGTGGGGGCTCCAACCCTACATTCTCTTCTGCACTGCCCTAGCAGAGGTTCTCCTTGAGGGCACAGCCACTGTAGCAGACTTCTGCCTGGACATGCAAGCATTTCCATACATCTTCTCAAATCTAGGCGGAGGTTCCCAAACCTCAATTCTGACTTCTTTGCAGCCACAGGCCCAACACAATGTGGAAGCCACCAAGGCTTGGGCTTGCACATTCTGAAGCAGCAGCCTGAGCTGTATGTTGGCCTCTCTTAGCCATGGCTGGGATGCAGGGGACCAAGTCCCGAAACTGCACAAAGCAGCAAGGCCCTGAGCCCAGCCCATGAGACCATTTTTTCCTCCTTGGACTCCTAGCTTGTGATAGGAGAGGCTTCCATGAAGACCTCTGACATGCCCTGGAGACATTTTTCCCATTGTCTTGGAGATTAACATTTGGATCCTTGTTATTTATGCAAATTTCTGCAGCCAGCTTGAGTTTCTCCTAATAGGTTTTTCCTTTCTATCTCATGGTCAGTCTGCAAATTTTCCAAACTTTTAAGCTCTGCTTCCCTTTTAAACATAAGTTCCAATTCCAAGCCATATCTCTGTGAATACATAAAACTGAATGCTTTTTACAGTACCTAAGTCATATCTTGAATGCTTTGCTGCTTAGAAAATTTTTTCTCCGGATGTCCTAAATCATCTCTCTCAAGTTCAAAGTTCCACAGATACCTATGGCAGGAGCAAAATCTCGCCAGTCTCTTTGCTAAAACATAGCAAGAGTCACCTTTGCCTCACTTCACAACAAGTTCCTCATCTCCATCTTAGACCATGTATGTTTGAATTTATTGCCCATATTACTATCAGCATTTTGGCCAAAACCATTCAACAAGTCTGTAGGAAATTCCAAACTTTACCACATCTTCCTGTCTTCTTTTGAGCTCTTCAACTGTTCCAACCTCTGCCTTGTACCCTGTTCCAAAGTCGCTTTCACATTATCAGGTATCTTTACAGCAGCACCCCACTCTACTGGTACCAATTTACTGTATTAGTCTCTTCTCACGCTGCTAATAAAGACGTACCGAAGACTGGGTAGTTTATTTAAAAAAAAGACCTTTAATTGACTCACAGTTCTACATGGCTGGGGAGGCCTCACAATCATGGCAGAAAGTCAATGAGGAGCAAAGTCATGTCTTACATGGCGGCAGAAAAAAGAGCTTTTGTAGGGGAACTCTCCATTATAAAACCAGCAGATCTCATGAGACTTATTTACTATCATGAGAATAGCACAAGAAAGACCCACCCCCGTAATTCAATTACCTCCCACCAGGTGCCTCCCAGGACATGTGAGAATTATGGGAGCTACAAATCAAGATGAGATTTGGGTGGGGACACAGCCAAACCACATCACTCTCCAAATTTCTCTTGTTGCACAAATATTGTTAAAAGGGTTTTGATACTGAATCTAGTCAACAATCACTTTCCTCTGATGTGGGACCAGGCCAGTAACCCAGGATAGATTCATTCTGCCAGCAAGAAATAATCAAAACCTAACCACAGATGGTTGATCAGAATTGATTTTAGAGAAAGATTCTGATCAAAAGAGAAAAGTGTGAAACTTGTCAAAAGCAAAAGAGTCATTTATGGCAGACCCTGGCAAAAACAAAGTCAGCAGGTCATGAAGGGTAAGTTCTCATGCACCAATGCCTGACAAGAACCATCACCAAATATCCTGCAAAAACCACAATCTTGTACCATTATCAACCTTACACAAAAGGGCCATATCAACCTTTTGCAAAAAATCCTTCTGCAAGAACATCTGCTCAGCAACTGCCTTTTCAACCTTAGGCTGATGCCAGTCTTATTGACCCTTATAGTCAAGGATAACTGTTTCAAAACAATTTATGTAATCATCCTTATTTTTCCTTTTAAAATCTTTGTCTTCTTTTACTTTTCTGACTACACCTATGTGTGTTCTCATTGCAATGCTCCTTCTGATATAAGTATCTTTTTTTTTTTGAGAGTCTCAGTGTCTGCTATTTAGGTTGATGATGTAATATTTTATTTTACATTTCCTTTTGTATTTTTTGTAATATCTCTTTTAAAAGGAATTATGGTAGTTATTTACTACTTTCTTCTGTTTGAGGGTAAATTAATTATTGTTCTTTTGTCTCCTTTTTAAAAATGTGTGAGTAATTTAGGCTTTCTGTCGCCCTAAAGAAACCATTAATTTCTGAGAGGCACTCAGATATTATATTCCCTTTGGGCTTGAAATATATAATTCATGTAAAAATAGTTGCATTTATCCCATCTCTTAGAAATTTTCTAAGGTCTTAATCTGTGATTTGGCTCTAGTAAAAAACAAATACAGTACTTATTCTCAACAGGGGCTACACTTATTTTCTGAAACAGTAATACTTCATAACAAACAAAACCAACACCTCAGTGGGTTACAATAAGTATTTCCTTTTGCTCAGGATGCTTAGTAGAAACCACACAGGCCATGCATAGATTCATGAACAAAGGTAAATACCTATTGTTGTAAGCCACTGAGGTGTTAATGTTGTTTGTGAGGAAGCATTCTTGTGTGGTTTCTACTAACCTGGTCCAGGCTATGCAGATGTCAGCTGTGTTTGCTCATATGGTTTTGGTCAGCCAAGAGTTTGTTGAGAACTGGCTGAGGTAGAATAGACTTCAATCAGCTGTGGTAAAGTAAAAGCTTTAGATAAATTAAATTTAACAGAATCTATTTGATCAAAGAAGAATTCATGAAGCAGGTGTCGCTCTGAACTGGAAGAAGTTCAGAGAGCTGTGCTGGGCAGCCTGAGCAGTGAGCTTTGAAAGGTTGACCACTGAAGTAGGGAAATCATCTGATTGGTTACAGCCGTATTTGGGCATGAGCTGATCAGTTAGATGTCTGTGATTGGCTGAAGGTTGGCTGTTTGTGATTGACTGAAACCCAGCTGTTATACAATTATACTTATGTAAGATAAGTTTTAGTTTATTTAGGTATTAAACTGGGTGGTTGTTTGTTACCTAAGAATTCAAAGTATGGAGATGACCTCAGGCCCAGCGGCCTGCAGCTTATTTAATGTAATAACTGAGACTCACTTGTCTCTGTTCTCTGTGGTTTCAGATAAGCCAGGCCTTGAAATCTTTGCAGTGACAGAAATAATGCTTATTTTATGTTTGTTCCACCCTGTTGGATAAAGTAAGTAACAGGGCAGAGCTTAGGATAAGAGACACAGAAGACAACAAAGTAAAAGAGCCAAGGTATGACTCTATGGAGGCCATTGACTGGTGCCATTAAAGTAACTGATCTACCAGAGAAGCCACTTCTAGAAATCCTAAATATCAGAATTTTATTTTTGGTAGAAGAAATTGCCTTACAGGTAATTAAATAATTAAGTGATAATTTTATTAAGATATCACAGAAGATTTTAACAGTTAGGTATGAAGAAATATTTACCAGTTCACAATTAAATTAAAAGAGAATAAACTATACCTTAATTTTTTTGTGTGTGGGGGATGGGGTCTCACTCTGTCACTCAGGCTGGAATGCAGCGGCATGGCATAATCATAGGTCAGTGCAGCCTCAACTTCCTTGGCTCAAGGAATCTTTTTACCTGAGCCTGCCCAATAGCTGGGACAACAGGCATGAGCCACCACACCTGGCTAATATTTTTTTAAATCCCTGGTAGAGATGGGATCTTGCTTTGCTGGCCAGGTTGGTCTTGAACTCTTGCCTTCAAGCAATCTTCCTGCCTCAGCCTTCCAAAGTGCTGGAATTACAGGTGTGAACCACTATACCCAACCTAACATTTTTAATTCTGATTTTTAAAAATTAATAATCTTTGCTTTTTAAAGTAGATTTAGGTTTACAGGAAAACAGAACAGAAAGTAGAGAAAGTTTCTTCCAATATCCTCGCTTTCCCCCAAATTCAGTTTCTCCTATTGGCAAAATCTTGTATGTGCACTGATCATTAGTTACAAACAATGAACTAATGTCGATACATTATTACTAACTGAACTCCATACCTACATCAGTGCTGTTTGTGTCGCATAGTTCTCTGAGTGTTGCCAAATGCATAATGCCATGTATCTACCATTAGAGTATCATACATTAACTTCCCTAAAAATCCCTGTATTCTACCTATTTGTTCCTCCTCTCTCCAACCCAACTCCTGGCAACCACTCTTCATTTTACTTAGTTTTGCCTTTTCTAGTATGTCATACATTTGAAAGCAAAGAACACATAGGCTCTTGAGATTGGCTTCTTTCAATTATTGATAAACATTTAATGTTTCCCTATGTCTTGTTGTGACTTGAAAGATCATTTCATTATATCACTGAATAAAATTGCACTGTGTAGACGCATCATCGTTGGTTTCTCTATTCAGCCATTGAGAACATCTTGGTTGTTTCTAGTTCTGGCTATTGTGAATGAATTGTTATAAACACTTATGTAAAGGTTTTTGTGTGGACAAATGTTTGCAACTGATTTGGGTGAATACCTAGGAGTGTGATTGCTGGATCGTGAGGTAAGACTCTACAGTTTTGGGAGAAACTGCAAAACTGTCTTCTAAAGTGACTGCACTATTTCACATTCCCACCAGCAATGAATGAGAATTCTTGTTTCTCCACATCCCCACTAGCAATTGACATTATCAGTATTTTTATTTTACGTCATTCTAATATATGTGTGGTGGCATCTCATTTTTGTATATATTTAATTTTTTAACATTTTAAAATCATACACATTTAATTAAATATATTTTTAAGTAGAGATTATCATTCTTGTGTGTATCACTCTCTTGTACTTAATTATGCTACCTTTACTTGGGGTTCAACTGTTTATGAAAGCTAACAATTATGTAAAATTCCTAAGTTTTTCAAGCATAAGAAACATGATTGAGTCAGGATTATTTTGGATACAGCAATTTTTTTTGTATACAGCATTTTTCATAATGCTTTAGAAAACCTCTGTCATTGTTTCAACCAATAAATATTTTTATCATGTCAAACATATTTCAGGCACTGTGCTAGGCACTGAAGAAGCAACAGCAAAAAGAACAGCAAAAATAAAGCCATAAAAATAAGTCTTTCTTGCTGGAAAACCATTTCTCAACTGCACAGCTACAAAAACAAAAAAAAAGGAAAAAGGAAATTAATTTTTCTCCAGAGCAGCACAAGTATGTATGTGATTTTGGGACATAAGTCATAAAGTTGTAAAACTGCCTCTGTCGCATAAAAGATCCAACTAGGTTGATCCAGATAAATCTAAATAAATCAACTGATGCTATCAATTCACTAGAATGAATTTTCATTTTCACAAACTTATGTGCTGCACCTAACTAGATATTTATAAAAATCAATATTGATTTTTAATGAATCAACACATAATAGTATCAGTATATCATTTAAAACAATATCCAAATATAAGCAGCACTGACAACTTGGAAAGTTGACGCAGCCTTATAAAAAGAACAACATCATAAATAATTGAAACTACTATAATGAATTCAGTCAGATGCTAAATAAAAAACTGTCTTCCTAAAAGTTGGAATAGAGAATGTCATTTTCTTAATAACCCTCATATTTTCTGAATTAAGTCAAGACTTTAAGTCTTAATATCCTCATTTTTAAAATGTAAATACATGGCATGCAAGTAAAATTTGCAAATGGTTGCATGTGGAAAA
Organism: Homo sapiens; assembly: GCF_000001405.40. Lineage (NCBI taxonomy): Eukaryota > Metazoa > Chordata > Mammalia > Primates > Hominidae > Homo > Homo sapiens. The sequence continues at coordinate 25,866,833 of NC_000005.10, forward strand.
GTCTTTTCACCTCTAACTGTATCATTTTATGTTCTAATACAGTGATTTTCAAACCACGTACTACATTTAACTTTTCGATCACATAATCAATTTAATGGGTTGTGCCTGGACCTTAAAAATGGAATAAAATAGTCAACATTAGAACAGGGAAAAATAGAATAAAAATATGAGAGCGAGAGTGTCCTGTTTTATATAATATGTATGTATTTATCAATTTACAATGTAGTTTTAAACTATAGGCATAAACAAAAATGGAAAACCATTACCTGGAAGTTACCACAAATAGCCTGAGGAAGAGCTATTGGCATTGTTTCAAAACCTATTTATTCCTCTTTTGAGGATATTTAAGAATATAATTCACAGTTTTATTGGCTCCTTTTAATTATGAATTATTTTTTATTAAGTTTGCTAAGACAGTTTAGAGAATTATTAAGATATTGTCATAGATTTTATTGATTCACTAAATATTAAATCAAATAAACAAGGAAACATAATTATAATCACCAATAGGTAGAGAAAACCATGCAAACACAAACTAGCAACAAAACAAAATATGTGGAGCATAAAAAAATTAAAAATGAAAAGCATGATTAATCACATGTAGAATGTAACTGTTCACATAAAATTAGCATCAGAGAATGGAGCAGAAGGTGCTTTGGGCCGTTTTATCACGAATGGCTTATACAGTGCTGCGTGTCAATAAACAACTATTAGATGAACATATGAAGATGTAGTACGATACACATTCACGTATCCATGTGTTAATCTCCATGTCAATCTAGGCTAAGATATGAGTTTATACAATCTGATAATTGCAGAAGTCTCATTTTCTTCCTAACTTGCTGGAGTTCACATTTTTGTTAAAACATTTCAAATGCATCAATATGAGCTAATGCCTATTTATCATATGTGAAAACTTTCACCTCTTAATTAGCTAATTCAGCCACACACTTCGCTTATGTGTCCACAGTTATAGGGCATTGTTCTAGGATAGTTGTTTGGCAAACTCCAGCTTTAGACAAAATCCTTCTCTCAGCTTGTTTTTATTAGTATAGTTGTATTTGGACACACCCCTACCCATTATTTTATCTATTGTCTACAGCTGCTTCTGTTGTACAATGCTGAGATTGAGTAGTTGCAACATAAACCATATGTGGCCAGCACAACATAAATATTTATTCCCTGGCCATTTTCAGAAAGTGTTTGTCTGGAAGCTAAGAATAAAAGAAACATAAGATAAGTTAGATTCTTTCAGGTGCTCTCTGTCTAGATAAAGAGTCGGGAAAAAAAAAACACATGAAAAACATATAAATACAGTGAGATAAGTGTAATAAAAGACATAAGTAGGGGGGCTATGGAAACCTGAGTTACCTGGGGATGATTTCTGAAAGGTATCCAAGCAAAAGTGACACTTAAATTTAATCTTAAAACTTATTGTGTGAACTATTTACTCTCAATTTTTTATAAATATGCATTTCTCTTTAAATGAATGATTAGTTGTGTGTGGCTTTTTTTCCATTGTAAGATTCAGTCTGTCATAGTGTGAAACAAGTGACTTTTCCAAGAACTTGCTTTTGCCTTAACAGTCACATATTTCATTCTTTTCGGCTGAGATACAATATTCATTGTGTGAATACACCACATTTTGCTTATGCGGCTGAGACACAATATTCCCTGTGTGAATAAAATGTAGTTTGAGGGGTGTTTGGTTTCAGGTTTTTGCTCTCCTGAGCTGTTGTTACATGTCTCCCTTGGTACTTACGTAATCATTTATTGTAGATATAAAACTTGGAATACAGTTTATGCACCACAGTTTTTCAAGTATACCTCTTTACAAACTTTTTTCAGAATTATAGTAGTTATTTTTTTGAGTAAGAAATACACTTGTTTGGTAGCCTATTAAGATATGAGATTATTGTTATCACAGTATTCTTGCAATCCTAATAAAATGGTTTTGTCACTTTACACTCTGCCAGTGGTGAATAAGAAAGACTGTGGCCTCACATCGTCTCCAATACTTGTTATTGAATGCTGTGATAAGCAGAACAATGGAACCCTAAAGTTATCCATATTCAAATCTTCAATTCAAATGTGACTATGTTATGAAACACTGGAAGCAGGGAGAGACATAGGTTGCAGATGTGATTGAGGAGGCTAATCAGTTGATCTAGACATAAAAGGAGATGTACAATTACCTGCAATTCAATGTAATCCTATGGGCTCTTTATATATGGAAGAAGGAGACAGGGGAATTGTCAAAATGATGTGATGTGATGTAATGTGAGAAAGACTCAATGGACATTTCTGCCTTCAAAGATGGAAGGGAGCCATGGGCCAACGACTGCAGATCATCTGTAAGAGCTACAAAAGAAAAGAAAATGTACTGTCTCTTAGAAACTTCAGTAAGAAACACTACCCAGACAACACTTTAATTTAGCACTGTGAGACCTGTGAGGTTTCTGAGTCCTGTAACTTTAAAATTATAAACATGTATTGTTTAAGGTACTAAGATTATGGTGATTTTAAAAACAGCTTTCATAGGAAACTAATACAAATTCCTTTTCAATTTCTGCCAGTTAAATTAATAATTACATTGGCTTGCATGTCCCTTATTATTAGCCAGGTTAGAAATATCTTCAAATATGTATTGACCTTCATCAGATTCTTTCTTCTGGGAAATTTTTGTTAAAGCTCTTTGCCCAATCTCTTTTCATTTTTCTATTTTTTCCAATTTTCTTATCAAATTGAAAAAATTCTATACGTGTCTTTAACAATTTTTCTTCCTTTTAAAAACTGCAAATATCTTCTATTTTGTAGCTCCTTGTTTGTTAATTTCCTTACGGTGAACTTCTATGAAAAGAGGTCTTGACTGAAACATAAATAAATTTTTATATACTCTGTTTAGTGATTTGAAATACTATTTGCCTACCCCAATATTAACAAAATTTACTACTTAGATACTTGAAGTTTTATTTCCATTATCAAAGTTCTAATCAATTTGAAGTTGATTTTTATATATTTGTATATCATTTAAAACAATATCCAAATATAAGCATTCCAGGTATACTTTTACATTTTATATATATACTGAATTTTTAATTTTTAATTGTTAATTTTTGTGGGTACATATCATGTGTATGTGTTTATGTATATGATATACTTAATATGAGATTTTTGACATAGGCATACAAAGTGTATAAATCACATCAGGGTAAATTGAGGTATTCATCACTTCAAGCATATATGCTGTGTTACGAACAATCCAAGTATTCTTTTTTAGTGATTTAAAAATATAAAATTACATTAATATTGACTATACACACCCTGTTGTGCCATCAAATTCTAGATCTTATTCATTTTTTCTAACTATTTTTTTATAGACATGAACCATCCCTACTTCCCCCGACCTACCCACTACACTTCTCTTCCTCTGGTAACCATCATTCTACTGTCTCCATGAGTTCAATTGTTTAAATTCACAGCTCCCACAAATAAGTGTGAACATGCAAAGTTTGTCTTTCAGTGCCTGGTCTATTTCACTTAACATAATGACCTCCAATCTCATACATGTTATTGCAAATGACAGGATCTCATTTTTTTATTGCCAAATAGTTCTTTATTGTATATATGCAGCATATTTTTTTATCCTTTCATCTGTTGATGGACACTTAAGTTGCTACCAAATCTTGCTTATTGAGAATAGTGCTGCAATAAACATGAAAGTGCAGATACTTCTTCGATATACTGATTTCCTTTCTTTTGGATATGCACCTAGCTGTGGGATTTCTGGATCATGTGGTAGCTCTATTTTTAGGTTCTTGAGGAACCTCCAAATAGCTCTCCACAGTGGCTGTACTAATTTACCTTCTTACATTCTCCACAATGGTGTTCAAGAGTTTCCTGTTCTCCACACCCTCGTCAGCATTTGTTATTACCTGACTTTTGGAGGAAAGCCTTTTTGTTTGTTTGTTTGTTTGTTTGTTTATCTGTTTTTGTGAGACAGAGTCTTGCTCTGTTGCCAGGCTGGAGTGCAGTGGTGCAATCTCGGCTCACTGCAAACTCCACCTCCCGGGGTCAAACAATTCCCCTGCCTCAGCCTCCCGAGTAGCTGGGACTATAGGTGCGAGCCACCATGCCTGGCTAATTTTTTGTATTTCAGTAGAGACGGGGTTTCACCATGTTGGCCAGGATGGTCTCAATCTCCTGACCTTGTGATCCGCCCACCTCGGCCTCCCAAAGTGCTGGGATTACAGATGTGAGCCACTGCGCCTGGCCGGATGAAAGCAATTTTAACTAGTGCAAGATGGTATCTTAGAGTAGTTTTCACTTCTAATTCTCTGATTATCCATGATGTTGAGAACCTTTTTTCATTCAGCAAAACTATGTCTTTTGATTAGAGAGTTTAGTTTATTTTCATTCAATCTAATTATTGTTAAGTAAGGACTTATTCCTGCCATTTTGTTATTTATTTTCTGTTTTAAGCCTTCTCTTCCTTCTTTTATGTTTTCCTTTTGAAGATGATTGTCTATGGCAGTATATTTTAATTTATTGCTTTTTATTATTTTTGTTTCTGTCATATTGTTTTTTATTTGAGGTTAAGGCTTTAAATTAATATTTTATAATTTATTATGTTTCACTGATAAAAAGTTTACAGTAGGCCAGGTGCAGTGGCTCACACCTGTAATTCTAGCACTTTGGGAGGCCAAGGCGGGTGGATCACGAGGTCAGGAGATCAAGACCATCCTGGGTAACATGGTGAAACCCCGTGTCTACTAAACAAACAAATAAATAAATAAATATATATATATTTATTTATTTATATTTATATTTATATTTAAATTAGCCAGACGTGGTGGCACAGGCCTGTAGTCCCAGCTACTTGGGAGGCTGAGGCAGGAGAATCGCTTGAACCGGGGAGGCAGAGGTTGCGTCGAGCCGAGATCGTGTCACTGCACTCCAGCCTGGGCAACAGAGCAAGACTCCATCTCAAAAAAAAAAAAAAGCCGAAAACAAAAACTTAACACTGATTCCTTAAACCAATAAACTAACATGCAAGCAAAGAGAAAACCAGTAACAACTTTACAGTTTTACCATGTCTCCTCACTTTTTAACATTTTGTTATTTCTATTAATATCTTATTATACTGACTATACCTTTAAAATTTGTCAGTTATTATTTTTTATTGGTTCATCTTTCAGTCTTTCTACTTAAGATATGAGTAGTTTACACACCACAATTAGAGAGTAATAATATTCTGTGTTTTTGTGTATACTTAATATTATCAGTGAGTTTTGTACCTTCAGACGTTTTCTTATTGCTTAAAACATCCTTTTCTTTCAGATAGAAGAATTTCCATTAGCATTTCTTGTAAGACAGGTCTGGTATTAACGAAATCCCTTAACTAGTGTTTGTTTGTAGAAGTCTTTATTTTTCTTCATGTTTGAAGGATTTTTCACCAAATATACTACTCTAGGGTAAAATATTTCTTCCTTCAGCACATTAAATACATCACATCACTGTTTCCTGGCCTGTAACTGAAAGTGACCCAGTAGTCCCATAGACTGTTCTTTTGGATAAACATAGAAATGGACCCTTCTGCTGTTAAAGCATGAAACCTGTTTTTTGTTTTATCTGAGTTTCTTCCTCAGGAAAGGACGTTCAGGCCTCTCAAGAAAGTATCAAAGTACTGAAACTCACCAAATGCTACACCTCTCATTCATCATGATTGATTTTTGCTCCTCCCTAGTTCTGGTTTTCTGACACATTGTTACATTTCTTCTCTTCTATATAAACCCCTAGTTTTAGTCAGTCAGGGTGATGGATTTGAGACTGAGTGCCCATCTCCTCAGCTGCAGCAACCGATTAAAGCCTTCTTCCTTGGCAATACCTGTAATCTCAGCAATTGGCCTTCTGTGCGGTGAGCAGCAGGAACTAGACCGAAACCCTGGTATTTCAGTAATGTAATGCTTCCACTGAAAATTCTTGCTGCAAGTTTTAATGGAGCTCCATTGTATGTTATTTGTTTATACTCTGTAGCTGCTTTTAGAATTCATTCTTTATCCTTGACCTTTGAAAATTTGAAAATTTGATTAGTAATTGCCTCGAGGTAGTCCTCTTTGGGTTAAATATGCTTGTTGTTCTATAACTTTATTTCTTTTTTGTTTTTTTTTTTTGAGATGGAGTGTCGCTCCATCGCCCAGGCTGGAGTGCAGTGGCACAATCTCGGCTTACTGCAAGCTTGGCCTCCCGGGTTCACGTCATTCTCCTGCCTGTCTCCTGAGCTGGGACTATAGGCACCTGCCACCACACCCGGCTAATTTTTTGTATTTTTTAGTAGAGACAGGGTTTCACCGTATTAGCCAGGATGGTCTCGATCTCCTGACCTCGTGATCTGCCCACCTTGGCCTCCCAAAGTGCTCGGATTACAGGTGTGAGCCACCATGCCCGGCCAACTTTCTTGTACTTACTTAAATAGTGATATCTTTGCCTAAGCTTGAAAAGTTTTCTGTTATTATCCCTTTGAATAAACTGTCTATCCCTATCTCTCTACATTCTCTTTAAGGCCAATAACTCTTAGATTTGCCCTTTTGAGGCTATTTTCTAGATCCTCTAGGTGTGCTTCATTGATTTTTATTCTTTTTTCTTTTGTTTCCTCTGTGTGTATGTTTTCAAATACCATGTCTGCAAGCTCACTAAATCTTTCTTCTGTTTGATCTATTCTGCTCTCAAGAGACTGATACATCCTTCAGCATGTCAATTTTTCAACTCCAGTATTTCTGCTTGATTCTTTTAAATTATTCAAGCTTCAGTAAATTTATCTGATAGAATTCTGAATTCCTTCTCTATGTAATCTTGCATTTTGTTGATTTTTCTCAAAGCAGCTATTTTGAATTTCCTGTATGAAAGGTTACATATTTCTGTCTCTCCAAAATTGGTTCCTAGATGCCTTATTTAGTTCATTTGGTAAGGTCATGTTTTCCTAGATGGTCTTGATATTCATAGGTGTTTCTCTGTGTCTGGGCATTGAAGATTTAGGTATTTATTTAAGTCTTTGCACTCCGGGCTTGTTGGTACCAGTCTTTTTTGAGAAGGCTTTCCAGGTATTTGAATTGGCTTGGGTTTTTTGGCCTAAGTTTTTGGTTACTGCAGCTGTGTCTGGATTAGGGGACACCCCAAGCCCAGTAATGCAGTGATTCTTCAAGACTTGCAGAGCAACCACATTGATGTTCTTGGGTGATATTTGGACAAATTATCTGGATTATCAGACAGAGACTCTTGTTCTCTTTTCCTACATTCTCCCAAACAAATGCAGTCTCCCTCTCTGTACTGAGATGCCTAGAGCTGGGGTTGGGGTGACATAAGCACCCCTGTGGCTACCACCACTGGGATTGCACTGGGTCAGACCTGAAACCAGCAGAGCACTGGTCCCCTCCCAAGGCCCCCTATAACTACTACCTGGCTAGTGCTTATGTTTGCTCATGGTTCTAGGACTCCACAATCAGCAGGTTGTAAAGCCATACAGGCTAGTGTCCTTCCTTTCAGGGTGGTGAGTTTCTCCAGGAAATCTTAGAAATCTACCTAGTACTCTCTTCAACTAAAGCTGAGCTGGCACCCTAACCACAGATACTCCTTCCTTCTCTTTCCTCCTCTTTCCGTAGGCAGATGAGTCTCTCCTCATGACCACCACCACAACTGGCCTGTGAGGAGTACTGCCAGGCTACCACTGCCTAAGTGCTCTTCAGTCAGCTTGTGGTAAATCCTCCCACTCCTTGGACTCACCCTTCAGGGCAATGGACTCCCACTGGCCCTGGGTAGGTCTAGACATGCCATCCAAGAGCCAAGGCCTGGAATTGAGGACTGCAAGAACCCACTTAGTACTGTATCCCATTGCAGCAAAGTTGGTACCTAAGCTGATTTTTGGTTCTTATGAAGATGCCTTTTTTGTGTAGATATTTGTAAATTTGGTGTTCCTAATGGGAGAGTGATCTGTGGAAGTTTCTATGCAGCTCTCTTGCTTGACCTCCTTTATGCTGATAATTTTTTAACGACTTTCTGTGTTAAAGAAAACTATCTTTCTTAACTGATATGACATAAGATATAATTCCAGAGAACCACATCATTTTATGGGCTTCTTATACAACTCTACTGAAAGTGGACTGCAATAGTAATGCAACAGTGTCTTTCTTACTATAGTTTCATATGATTTCTAGTATCTGAAATGGTAAATCATCACCACCAATTTATCCTGTTCAGAAGCACTCCTATTTCTTTTCCGCATAATATTTATAATTGGAATATCAATTTCTATGTAAACTTCTACTGGGATTTTGAATGGAATTCCATTAAATCTATAGGTCAACTATGAGATAATTAGTACTTTTAGAGTATTAAATCTTTTTACTCATTAATATTTTGCAGTTCTGTAATGTTCCTTTATAGAATATAATGGATTTTTTCATAAAATTATTGTACATAGATGGTTATAATGATTTCTATGTATTTAAAATAATTTAGCCTTTCATATGTAAAGGATCTTATCTTTAAATGATAGTTTTACTTTTTGATATTGAATTTAGCCCATAATTTATAGACTAAAACCTCCCACTCTCTTTTATGAATCAGTCAAATTAATTTTCCACCAGTTGCCCAGTATTTATGTAATTAATATAAATGTATATATATAGAGATGTCTCATAAAATCATGCAAGCTCTCAGTTCCTTGACTGCATTTTCTAAATGGATATGGTCTCCATTTCAATCCAGATACCAATGGCCGTATCCAAAACCTAGAAGTTTTGAATGCCACCTGTAAAAGTGATAATAATTTAAAATATGATAATGGCTATTGTGTCTGGAGTTTATTCCTTCTGGTGGGTTCTTGGTCTTGCTGACCTCAAGAATGAAACCACAGACCTTCACAGTGAGCCCTAGAGCTCTTAAAGATGGTGTGTCCGGAGCATTTCCTTCAGATGTTCTGACGTGTCCAGAGTTTCTTCCTTCTGGTGGGTTCGTGGTCTCACTGACTTCAAGAATGAAGCCGCAGACCTTTGTGGTGAGTGTTACAGCTCTTAAAGGTGGTGCGGACCCAAAGAGCAAGCAGCTGCAAGATTTATTGTGAAGAACAAAAGAACAAAGCTTCCACAGCATGGAAGGGGAAACCAGCAGGTTGCCGCTGCTGGCTGGGGTGGCCAGCTTTTATTCCAATATTTGTCCCTGCCCATGTCCTGCTGATTGGTCCATTTTACAGGGGGGCTGATTGGTCCATTTTACAGAGTGCCAATTGGTGCGTTTACAATCCTTTAGCTAGACACAGAGTGCTGATTGGTGTGTTTTTACAGAGTGCTGGTTGGTGCGTTTACAATCCTTTAGCTAGACACAGAGTGCTGATTGGTGCGATTTTACAGAGTGCTGATTGGTGCATTTACAATCCTTCAGCTAGATGCAGAGTGCTGATTGGTGTGTTTGCAATCCTCTAGCTAGACAGAAAAGTTCTCCAAGTCCCCACTCGACCCAGGAAGTCCAGCTGGCTTCACCTCTCACTATTACCTGAGGTATCATTAGTTTCAATTAAAATGTCCTTAAAAATATATTAATTTTACAATATGAAGAAGATTATCATAACTTTTCCTTATGCTGGTGACAAGGTCCAAAGCTGCTTCTAATAAAAAATTCCCCTGTAACTAGGGGAATCTATAACTGCCACAACTTCAATTACCCATTACAGTTCCACTGGCTTTACCCTAGTCCATAATGCACCTCACTTCACACTGACTTCAGCTGATTCAATTAAGGGTGCCTGTCTGAGCCTCTGGAATTCAGTCTATAATGTGACTGAATATCCATGAATTGATTAAACATTGAGAGTTTAGATAAGAACTTAACATTTGGTATTAGGGAAATATTTTCGATTTGGATCAATTTCTCCACCTGTTGTGACCATGCCAATGTTAGTATCAGCAGAAAAAATTATTCTAATATTGCCTTCAACTACTTAATGCAGATAAGAGAGCAGGGATGGAAGAAAATAGAAGTTCTGAAACTGCACAAACATGTAAGACACTCCAGTACCTCCCCATGCAGACAGAGGTTGAAGTATGAAAGCAAGGTATACATGATGCTGTTGATGGGATAGAGTTGCAGACTTCTGGATGGGCAAGTCTGGAGAAATTTGTGCTAATGAGGTATTTATTAACTTGGAATATAACAAATACAGCAGAGGGATAATGACTTGATGTATATGTCTTTATTTTGGTTAGCTAAGATAGAGCTAATCATTTATTTTGGTTAGCTAAGATAGGGCTAATCATTCAGCTTTTAAAAATTGTGCACACATTAGTCTTCAGCCTTCTAGCTATAGTTTTCCATTGAGATTAAGTAAGGAATACATAAAAAAAAATTACAACCCACCTTTGAACTTTAAGGTATACTCCTTCTATTCTCCCGAGTTGGGAAGAGATCTCCAGCCTCTCACTCTAGGAAGGAAAATGTTGGTATGAAAAATTTTAGGCATTCCAACCTCTTTTACATCTAAACCCATTCAAAAAGTGTAGGTCATCTGAATTTTTGCTTGGACAACGACAATGATTGGACCGTATTTTACTAGTAGGCAGAGAAACCACACCTCAAGGATGGAACAGGCTTTATTTGTTTTCTTATCCCCGGGCTTATACATACATTTGCTAATTGTATGCTACTTTCCTTTCCTTGTTGGACAACAGTAAAATATTTTAAATAACCTGTAAACTTACGTGAAGGGTCATCTTATAGGAAAAAGCAATGCCATTATTTTGCCTTAATAAAGGAGACTATGAGCCAGAAGTATGATACGATATGAAGCTGGTGAAATAGAACTGATGTTGTCATCAGGTCTGTTTATATCTCTGTGCACAGACCTAGGGAGAAAACATCATTGAACATATTAAAACAGTAGGCATGAGGCTGGGCGCAGAGGCTCATGCCTGTAATCCCAGCACTTTGGGAGGCCAAGGCAGGTGGATCACCTGAGGTCAGGAGTTCGAGAGCAGCCTGCCCAACATGATGAAACTCTGTCTATAGTAAAAATAAAAACAAAAAAATTAGCCAGGTGTGGTGGTGGTGGTGGTGTGCCTGTAATCCCAGCTACTTGGGAGACTGAGGCAGGAGAATTGCTTGAACCTAGGAGGCAGAGGTTGCAGTGAGCCGAGCTTGTGTCACTGCACTCCAGCCTGGATGTGTAAGAGCAAGACTCCAGCTCAAAAAACAAACAAACAAACAAACAGACAAACAAACAAACAAACAACACTAGGCATGAAATTGTCATTGGCTAATCTCCTGAATGGGAGAGAAAATAGGTAAAAATTGTAAGTTCAGCTCTGTAAATGACAAGCAAGATGAACTATTTGAGTGAGTTTAACAAGGGTTTTAGTGTCCAAGGGCTTAAATTTTGGAATGACTCCTCCAAAGCAGAGTTGGTGTTTATCAGTTTTAATATATTGAATTAAAATAATCAGGCCAATAAGAAAAATAAAATTTAGATCATAATCTCAAAGAACTCATTTTATATGTATCCTTTTATACAACAAATATACATTGTTAGTATTTTATATAACATCATTGATCCTATTCATTTTGTGAACTTATAACATATTTTCTTTAATGAACTTGGTACAATTTCTAAGTACCAAGCCTATTTCAAAGTGTAGTTAATACTAAGAAATATGACTAAATAACATACCGTTTCTCAAAATAAATATATCCAAAACAGCTTGTCTTTCTCCTTATATTCACAAATTAACAAAAATTATTGCATTATAAAGTATTCAAAATTGTATATTGTTGAAGACTGATAATTAGTTTAGAAATCAAATAAAATCACTACAAAATCTGTAACAAATTTAAATATCATACAAAGTTTATATTTTATAAAGAGATTACAGTAAAAGCCACCCAATCAGGATCTCTTCTAAAATTAGCCTACAAATTGACAATCATTTAAAAGATAATGATGAAAAGGTAGCCATAGTTTTGTGCCATTTAGAGATGTTTTTCAGTCTATCAACAGTAATATGCCAGGTTTGGTGGCTCAGGCCTACAATCCCAAGTCTTTGGGAGGCCAAGGCAGGAGGGTTGCTTGAGGCCAAGGGTCCAAGACAAGCCTGGGCAACACAGTAAGACCTTATCTGTACAAAACATTTGTTTTAAATTATCTAGACAGAATGGTGCATGCTTGTCTGTGCTTGCAGTCCTAGCGACTCAGGAGGCTGTGGCATGAGAATGTCTTGATCCCAGGGGTTGAAGGCTGCAGTGGGCTATAGTCATGTCACTGCACTGCAGCCTGAGCAAAAGAGTGAGACCCTGTCTTAAAAAAAAAACTAAAATAAAAAACCAACAAGAGTAGCAATGTTTAAAGTATATTTAATATACTTTAATAAAGATAAACATTATTATTCCTTTACATGAACTAATTCCTCAATTAAGGTAGATCCTTTCATTCAGGAGAGAGAAAATATTTTCTATTATTTGTCTGTGAGATGATGCCATTTAATACTAGTAAAATAAATTTGAAAAAAATGTATAACCTGAAGGTAATTAAGAAATAGTCTTATCTTACAGATGACAAAACATAATTCTATTAACAATCCATGTAGTTATAAAACATTGTAAATAAATAATGAATTTACTATGGAATTAGTCCAAACATATTGTCCCAACAAAGAACAATTTACTGAAGTATTACTCTTCTTTTTTTTTTTTTTTTTTTTTTTTTGAGATGGAGTCTTGCTCTGTCGCCCAGACTGGAGTGCAGTGGCGCGATCTCGGCTCACTGCAAGCTCCGCCTCCCGGGTTCATGCCGTTCTCCTGCCTCAGCCTCCTGCGTAGCTGGAACTACAGGCGCCCGCCACCTCGCCTGGCTAATTTTTTGTATTTTTAGTAGAGACGTGGTTTCACCATGTTAGCCAGGATGGTCTTGATCTCCTGACCTCGTGATCCGCCTGCCTCAGCCTCCCAAAGTGCTGGGATTACAGGCGTAAGCCACTGCGTCCAGCAGTATTACTCTTCTTTTACTGGTTGTTTAAACACACCTTTATATATTAAGCATTAAATTGATCTCACAAGAAAGCACATTTATTCCAAATGTCACTAACTTTGCTCAGAACTAAACATTCAAAAGCAAATATTGAATCGTCTGCTGGACTTTCTCCATGAAAGCATCAAAACTCAAGATGTCCTTCCTCACCTACCTGTTTATTTTATACTTTAACAAAAATTAATACTTTCAGGTCATCTATCTCTCCGCAACCCTCATTCTCATACCAATGTGTATAGTACCTAATCGAAACCATTTCCCCAAGGCTCTACATCCTAACAAAAGTTTCACTGTGTTGTTTGGAGCGATCCCTAAGCCATTCTGTATTTTCATCTTCTCAGAGTGTTTCCTTTACCTACTGCCCCCAGTAGAAAACCATATGCCATGGAATAGGTCTTCAGTCTTTCCTGCTGAGATTTATGATCGTTTTTCAAGTTTCATGGCAGAAGATAGATTGCTTGTCTTAAACATTTCTCACTGGCACTTCTAAGTTACTCTTATTCCTTTATTTGAAGCTCAGGCCATCTAATTATGCACTGCCACTACTGTTATCTTCTCATGAAGTTTACAATCTAGTGGATGGAGAAAGATGCTAAACAATGAAATTAATAGATTTGTTAGAAAATAACTTTTGTAGGGAAAAAGTAAAATATGGCAAGGGAAGATGTGTAGTTGGAGATGCATGTTTGAAATTTTAGGTAGTGTAGTCTGTGTAGCTCTCAGAGAGAAAGTACCATTGAGCATAGACCAAAAATGGCCAGATATTTTGGAAAAAGTGTTTCAAGTGATAGAAATAGAATGAGGAAAAGTGAGTAGAAAAAGAAATCAGAGAAGTAATCAGAGTAAAGATAATAGCTCATTTTTGTACTCATTGGCAATTTTAAGAATGTTAGTCACTCCCTCTCCTTTTTAACTCTGTTTAACTAATGTTTGCCCCTTGACTGATTAATTCTTCCTCCCTACTCTTGTCATCCTTCATAGTGATTTTGGACTAATGTGGTTGGCCATTACAATAACACATATGTTCATTTAATATCTTCACCTTTAATAATTTAATAATTGAGTTTTGTATTTTTCTTACACACCCACTGCAAGGGGCCTCTATATTCACAAACATCTATGTCTCCTTTACTGAATCATCATCCTCACTAATAAAGTGCCTACCTTCTATAGCAAACTAATGTACTTCCAATTAAAAAAAAAAGAGAGAAGCTTCCATAATCCATAGGCCCTACAGCTGTTTCAACTTTTGTACAGGCAAACTCCAATGGCTTTTTTTTTTTTTTTCAGATGAATTCTCACTTTGTCACCCAGGCCAGAGTGCAGTGGCACAATCTCGGCTCATTGCAAACTCCGCCTCCTGGGTTCAAATGATTGTCCTGCCTCAGCCTCCAGACTAGCTGGGATTTAGGCACACACCACCATGCCTGGCTAATTTTTATATTTTTACCAGAGATAGGGTTTCACCATAGTGGCCAGGCTGGTCTCAAACTCCTGACCTCAGTTGATCCACCTGCCTCAGCCTCCCACAGTACTTGTGTGCTTCATCCAAGTCTCATTTGATGGTGCCCCTTAGTTTAGCCAACTGTTGTTATCAGATTAACTGAAGACTCTGTCCTCACTGTCTGCTATTCTTTGTGGCATTTGTCAACCAAGAGAGGCAAAAGATCAGATTGCAATGCAGTAAGACAAGGCCTTTATTGTGGTATTTGGAATTGCAATTTGGGAGATAGTGATTCAACTAGAAGTCTAATTGTATTCTTAAGAGAGAGAGGGGAGAAGAGTATTTTTAAGAGAAAATAAAAAGGAGGGTGAGGGCGATTGCAGTTTTTTTGAAAGAATTATCATTTGGCGAGATGGCCAGCTTAGTTCATGAGTTCATAGTTCATTGATTGTTGCTGTTCAGATGTTGCAGCACTGGCAAAATTCCACTGTTTCCAGTGTGTTCGGGTTACTGTGATTTGACCCAGGTCAATGGTTCAAGGCGAGTTCCTAGATTTTTTGCAAGTTTGCAGGACATGCAGGCAATCCTTCTTAGAACGGCTTCCCAACTCCGTTTTAGAGCTCTGAACCAGAGTGATGCCATTTTCTATATCATATTGCACATACTCACTCTCATGACTTGATGTTCCATTATGTGATGTACACATTTTCCTTTCCAGGTTAACTTTATAATGCTGTAATCATGTCCCGAAAGATTTAAAAATTTTTGTTTGGTGGCATTTTTATTATGTTTAGAAGTGAATTTGAGGCCAAATGGACAATTTTCAATAATTAATTATCCCCATGGAAACATGTTATGATTTTCTATATTGTCAGTCTTTTCATTTTTAATAAGAAATAAAATCACTTAAATCTAGTCCTTTCATATTATTTTTTCTCACACTTGTTACTTTTATGATCATATTGGTTTTGGACAAGTAATTGAACTCGGGTAATACTTTCAATAGATTAGCAGTTATTTTGTGTTTACAAGTTAGGTGATGATGTCTTCAAGTAAATTGCGCCATTTTTTTTTCCTTTCCATTATTTACATATCCTTTTCTTAAGATAGTTTAGTGACTAGAACAGAGTATTCCTGAAGCGTATACATTAATTATGCCTTGGAAATCTCAAAAGTTTGCCAAGTTGTCACTGTATTGTGTTTGGAAATGTAGCATATATTTACTGGTCTCATGTCTAATTTTCACAAAGGATATTTACCCACAATGCTTTTTGTACTATGGGTAAATATAGCTTAGTCCAAGAAAATTAATTTTCATAATTGTAATGCCTTACTTCCTTTTCACAGACTTTTTAACTTTAGCCATTTTAGAGAGTATATGTTTGAATTGCACTGTGAGTAACTTGCATTTCCCCAAAGATTAACGTGTTTGATATCTTTTCCATACTTAGTTGTCATCCATGTATATTATCTTTGATATGTGTCTTCAAATATTTTGTTCATTTATTTAGAATTGTTTTATTGCTCTCAGTGTTTTTCCGGCCTTTTTCTTGTAAGACGGTATCCTTTGAAGAGAAGGAGATTCAAAGTTTGATAAAGTAAAATTTATGTTGTTGAATGTTGAAATTTGTTGTATCTTTCAAAGAGTGTTTGATTTTGTTTGACTATAAAATCACTTGGGATGTGTTTAATCTTTTAAACGTGTGGCTTAAAAGATTATGGCTCCCTCTAAGGTTTGTCAGAGTGAGTCTACTACAATTTTTACTCAAGGATTTAGACCTTTTATAAAAATTTACTATTTTGGATTCTTCACCAAAATTTCTGTGTCTTTTCAGATCTCTCCACTTTCACTGGTTGAACTGCAACTATTCCCACCATCTATGAACTCCAAAAATTGTGTAGTCAGTGTAAACAACAACAACAAAAACGATAAACCCCGCAATGACTGAATTGACCCGAGCCTTCAGCACGGGGACACAAAGAAACCTGAAAACCTTCTTCAGGCCCTGATGGGAAGGAGAGGTCAAACATGCTTTATTTTATTCTCCTCACTGTAGAGTTCAGTCACAACTAACCAGCATTAACACTAAAGTAGAGATTTTTACAGAATAGACTCTTTGTGGCAATAAGATACCAATTCCAACTTGACTCTGGTATAACATCACATGAGGATAACACACTCTAAAAGAAAATCAAAGTATTTTACCCTAAAATATTTTTCTTTGACATCTTTTTAAATGGCCCTGCAAAACTTTTTCTTGTGGGAGAAAATTGCATTCTGTAGGTAATTTTCTTTCCTTACTAGCTTTCTCCACAGAATCTCACAGCTTTGATAAGAGACATTCGCTCTGAAGTCTGCTACCTGGAGGCTTCCTCTACATGACAAGAGCTTTGTCTTCCACATTTCCTTCCCTTTTATCTTAACTTGAGCTGATTTCAACTCTTTAGGCAGAGCTTAATCCTTTCAACCAGTTGCCAGTCAGGAAATCTTTGAAACCACCTATGAATTGGAAGCTCCTGGCTACCCCACCCCACTTCAAGATGGCCCACCTTTCTTGTCTGAACCAATGTATAACTTACATGTATTGATTTATGTCTTTGCATGGAAGTTTGGTCTCTCTAAAATGTATAAAATCAAGCCGCAACCTAACCACTTTGGTCACATGTTCTCAGGTGCTCCTCAGGCTGTGTCACAGGTCATGATCCTAAACATTGTGAAAATAAACCTCTAAATTGATTGAGATCCATCTTAGATACTTTTCAGTTTACATAGGCTGCTTACTATGTAAGCAGGTGAGTCCTTCACTATCATCATGGAGTTACTCTCCACATATGTATGGTTGAATCTGTAGCCAAAGATTCAAGGAGATCCAACAATTGATTTCTGTAGCTATCTTTGAATCTCTCTCTTCCATGATATTCTGCTACACAAAATCTAGTATCTTACCCTCCCCAAATCTGATTTATGTCTTCTCAACTCAGTGAGATCGTGGGGCACTGCTTCCTTTCTTTCTGCTGTGGTTTGGAAATTGCTTTCAGACAGTAAGTTAGGTTAAACACAGAGCTTAAATATATTAATTAATTCAGATATCACAGACCTGCTCTGCCTGTTGTCCAAATATACAAGGATTTTTTAACATATTTTCCAGTTTTATATTTATTTTCTGAAAGAGGATAATTTTTTGTAGCCATTTATCCTTTGTGAGAAAACTATCGGCCCATGAATACAGGATTCTCCATAATTAACCAAAATTTTGGCTATCCAGATAACTTTACAATGTCTTTCTTACAATGACTGTTTTTCTTATAACTTTTAAACATGCTTCTACTGAATAAAAATATTATAAGAGGATGTGTAAATAAATATTAAATTGAAAATGGTAAAAAAATTATACATATCAACTATTCTTTGAAAATTTAGTTATATTTTTCATTTATAATTTTTAAGAAAATTATTCAAAACTTAGAAGTCAAATTGTATACAATTACCCTTTAAGTATAACAAAGAATACCTCAGTTCATATGGCCTCCCCCAAAATATTTAAGCCTCTAAGAACATTTACCAGTTTTTTGGCTTTGCTATTTATTATTTAATTATAACCTAAATATTACTTTGTGGATTTCTGTCTAACAAAGACATATCTCTAAAAATATTGATATTGCTACCTGGTTAGATATTAACCAGTATTGCATTAAGCAAGTTAATTTAAACACTCCTTAGAATTACTGAATACATAAATTTCTGTTCCTCTAATATATTTTTGAACTAGTTCACAAATACTACCTATTCCATAACCAATTAAAGGGTTAAATAAATTTCAACGTTGGCTTCTTCTATTTTGTATGAAAGTCATATTTTTAACTTTTTGAAAGTTATACTTGGGTGGTTTTACAGGTCATCTCCCAAGATATCCAAGTGGACTCAGCTGTCAGAACCAATTTTACTAGAAAAGTAAACCTCGTGGACTTTTCCAGCACAGATCCCCTCAATCTTTCTGTCTCTCTGTCTCTTTCTCTCTCTTTCTGCCTTTCTTGCTCCCTCTCTCTCTGTCACTTTTTTTATATCTATCTATCTATCTATCTATCTATCTATCTTATCTGAGTCTTGATAGCTCGATTTAACTTCTTTTGTAGAGATAGCTAATTTGCTTATTTATTTATTTATTTATTTATTGTTTTGTTTTGCTCCTATAAGTGAATTCCAAGTCTTTTTAGTCTTGGGTCAAGATTCATTCTAATGTATGTTTGTGCATAACAAATAATTTCATATAGGTGCCAGAATATTTGCAAATTAATATTTTTGGTTTGACCACATGGTGACCTTCTTTCTAGATGATAGTTATCTATTCTATCTCAGAGGAAAGACAAAATAAAAGTGGTGTGTTAGACTTTTTTATGGTCTGTTAGTCCATTTGTGAGAAGAAAATATTTCAAGCTGCCCTTTAAGATCTGGTGCATTGAGTTTTTCAGTTTATACTTAAGCCATAGCTGAGGTTAAAGAACTATATTTTCATATGGTTGCTATTTAAAGTTCTTTTCTTTGTGTATATCACTTGAGGTTTTTTTACTTCTGCATAATATTGTTAAGTTGATTATTTTAGAAATCTCTCAAAATAAGCTTTGTTGTGATGTTTATGAAGATTAATATACTCTTGATAAATCTACTATTTACAGAATTTCCAGGAAACTAAAGACATTAAATCTTTTATGTTTAAATATATTCAACATTAAAAAAAATTATCCTCTGAGATAGTGAAAGTTTAGATTGATTTTTTATAATAATATAAGTTTTTAAATTAAGTTGAGGCCAGGCACGGTGACTCACGCCTGTAATCCCAGCACTTTGGGGGGCCGAGGCGGGCAGATCACAAGATCAGGAGATCGAGACCATCCTGGCTAACACAGTGAAACCTCGTCTGTACTAAAAATACAAAAAAATCAGCTGGGCGTGGTGGCGGGTGTCTGTAGTCCCAGCTACTCCGGAGGCTGAGGCAGGAGAATGGCGTGAACCCGTGGGGTGGAGCTTGCAGTGAGCTGAGATAGCGCCACTGCACTCCAGCCTGGGTGACAGAGGGAGACTCCATCTCAAAAGAAAAAAAAATTAGGTTCAATCTTTACACAAATCATTCTTTTAAAAATTATTTTGTAAAATTGAATAAATACACATCTGTGTGTCTTTCTCTGATTTAATCATTGTAGGGAATAATTTAAAAACATTTTTTATCATAATATTTAAATTGTTTTCTCATAAACATATTAGTTATGCTTAACTTATTAGATCAGCTGAAATTACTACTATACAATGTTTAACATTATAAAATAGTAACATGTTGCACATGATAGATTGCAAATTGCACTAGAATGAGTGATATCAATAGTAGTTAGGTTCCATTGTGAGTCAGCTAAAAGATTTTTTTTTCTTTTTTTGAGATGGAGTCTCACTCTGTCACCCAGGCTGGATAGCTGTGGCATGATCTCCACTCTCTGCAAGCTCCGCCCCCTGGGTTCACACCATTCTCCTGCCTCAGCCTCCCGAGTAGCTGGGACTACAGGCGCCCACCACCACGTCCGGCTAATTTTTTCTGTTTTTAGTAGAGACGGGGTTTCACTGTGTTAGCAGCATGGTCTCAATCTCCGGACCTTGTGATCTGCCCACCTCGGCCTCCCAAAGTGCTGGGATTACAGGCATGAGCCACCGTGCCAGGCCTAAAAGATATTTTTTAAGATTATTAGTTAAATTTAAAACTTTAGAATATTATTGCCTTTAGTAACAAATACTTTTTAGGTATTTGTGTGATTTCTAATTAATATAAATGCCTGAATGTATTGGTCTGTTCTCACACTCCTATAAAAAACTACCTGAGACTGGATGATTTAAAAAGAAAAGGGGTTTAATTGAATCACAGTTCCACAGTAGTCTATAAAAGAGGCATGGCTGGGGAGATCTCAGGAAATTTACAATAATGACAGAAAGGTGAAGGAGAAGGAAGTACATCTTCATATGGCAGCAGGAGAGTGAAATGAGAAGAGCTACACATTTTTAAACAACCATCTCTCATAAATACCTATTTACTATCCTGAGAACAGCAATGGAGAAATCTGTCCCCATGATCCAATCACTTACCTCCAGGTCCCACTCCCAACAATGGGAATTACAATTTGACATGAGATTTGGGTGGGAACACAGAATCAAATACTATCATTCTGCCCCTGACCCCTTCCAAATCTCATGTCCTTCTCACATGTCAAAACACAATCATGTCTTCCTAACAGTCCCCTGAAATCTTAACTCATTCCAGCATCACCTCAAAAGTCCAAGTCCAAAGTCTTATCTGAGACAAGGCAAGTCTCTTCAAACTTTGAGCCTTAAAAAAAAAAAAAATTAGTTACTTCCAAGATACAATGGGGATACAGGCATTAGGTAAATTCCCCTATTTCAAAAGGGAGAAATTAGCCAAAACAAAGGGGCTACAGGCATCATGCAAGCCCAAAACCCAGCAGGGCAGTCATTAAATGTTAAAGCTCCAAAATAATCTACTTTGTATCCATGTCTCACATCCAGGCTACAGTGATGCAAGTGGTGGGTTCCCAAGGCCTTGGGCAGCTCTGTCTGTTCTGGCTATGCAGGTTACAGACCGAGCAGTGGCTTTCATAGGTTGTTGCTGAGTGCCTGCGGCTTTTCCAGGCACACAATGCAAGCTGTCTGTGGATCTACCATTCTGGGGCCTGGAGGATGGTGGCCTTCTTCTCATAGCTCCACTAGGCAGTGCCCCAGTGGGGACTCTCTGTGGGGGCTCCAACCCCATATTTCTCCTCCACACTGACCTAATAGAGGTTCTCCATGAAGGCTTCACCCCTGCAGCAGACTTCTGTCTGGACATTCAGGTGTTTCCACACATTCTCTGAAACCTAGGCAGAGTCTCCCAAACCTCAACTCTTGCCGTCTGTATACCCAAAGGACCAACACCATGTGGAAGCTCCCAAGGCTTGGGGCTTACACCATCTGAAGCAATGGCACAAGCTGTACCTTAGCCCCTTTTAGCCAGGGCTGGAGCTGGAGCATCAGGGACACAGGGCACCATGTCCCAAGGCTGCACAGAGCAGCAGGGCCCTGGGCCTGGCCTAGAAAACCATTTTTTCCTCCTAGGCCTCCTGGCTTATCATGGGAGGGGCTGCCACAAAGTTCTCTGAAATGCTCTGGAGGCATTTTTCCCATTGTCTTGGCTATTAACTTTAAGCTCTTCTTTACTTATGCGAATTACTACAGACTTGAATTCATCCCCAGAAAATGGGTTTTTCTTTTTTACTACATAGCCAGGTTGCAAATTTTCAAACTTTTATGTTCTGCTTCTTTTTAAATATAAGTTCTAGTTGCAGGTCATTTCTTTGTTTCTGCAAATGAGCAAAGGCTCTCAGAAGCAGCCAGGCTACATCTTGAATGCTTTGCTGCCTAGAAATTTCTTCTGCCGGATACCCTCAATCATCTCTCTCAAGTTCACAGTTCCACAGATCTCTAGAGCAGGGGGACAAGGCCACCAGTCTCTTTGCCAAAGCATAGCAAGAGGGACCTTTGCTCCTGTTCTCAATAGTTCATTATTTCCATCTGGGAACACCTTAGCCTGTACTTTACTGTCCATATCACTATTAGCATTTTGGTCAAAACCATTCAACAGGTCTCTAGGAAGTTCCAAACATTCCCTCATGTTTCTGCCTTTTTCTGGTTCCTCCAAACTGTTCTAATCTTTGCCCATTACCCAGTTCCAAAGTCATTTCCGCATTTCCAGGTATCTTTTTATCAGTATCCGACTTCTCTAGTAGCAATTTTCTGTATTAGTCTGTTCAAACACTGCTATAAAGAACTACCTGAGACTGGGTAATTTATGAAGAAAAGAGGTTTAATTGGCTCACAGTACTACAGGCTGTACAGAAAGCATGGCTGGGGAGGGCTTAGGAAACTTCAATCATGGTGGAAGGGCGGGAGAGAAGCAAACACCTCTTCACATGGCAACAGGAGAAAGATAATGAAGGAGAAAGTACTACGCACTTTTAAACAAACAGATCTCATGAGAACTCACTCACCATCATGAAAATAGCACGGAGGAAATCCACCCCATGATCTAATCGCTTCCCACCAGGTCCCTTCCCCAACATTGGGAATTATAATTTAACATTGGATTTGGGTGTGGCCACAGAGCCAAACCATATCACTGGATCTTTAATAATCAAACATGATTTTTTAATTCTTGTGGTTTTGTTTCTTACTTTTATGTATCCAGAGCTCCTATTATTTTTGGTTCTGTTAATGAGTATATATTATTCTGCTGCTTTTAACAAGTGGAAAAAGCTTATGTATGGAATTGGATGATCAAATGATTAGTCATAATGGGCTTTGCTAATCTGATATTTACACAGTTATTATACATTATACATATTCATACAGTTACATACATCCTAGTTTTCTCCCAGAAAGAAAAGTAAGTTACATAGGACAAGTGATAATTGGTGTGGTTGATTGATAACATACTAGAAGTACTCACAACAGCTATATATTCTGTGTATCCAAGGTATAAGTATGTATTTTCCTTTCCAAGAAGAAAAACGCAAGTCTTCTCCTAAAGTTAGATGATATTTTCCACATAATATTAAAAAAAATAAAAATAGTGAAAACAGTGACAGATTAAAGCTAAGCATCAATGGCCAATTGTAAAATACATGACAAAAGCAAATTTTATTGGCCTTTATTTATAATGCCTGATATAAAAAAGGTGGAATGTGTTCAAATATTGATGGAACAAAAAAGCTTTTTGATAGGGTTTTTTTGTAATTTGTTAAAGTTTGTCAATTTTTCCAGATGCATGTTATGAATAATATATTGTATGCCTTCCTTTTATTTATTAAGAAAATAATGATCCAGTTCATCATAATTAATTTTTATTATGTTTCTAAAGAGACACTTTTTCCATTTTGATAGTATTGCTTACTATAACAAATTAATCATTACTATTTAGTTGTATCATCCAGCAAGTGGTTTACTCTTTCCTTGGAGGTTTGCCTGGAGGCTCTGCTATAAGCTCCAGGCAAAATACGTGTCTTTGAAAAATAAGACTGGTCTCTTAACATCAGGGAATGTACCAAATATACTGATACTTTAAAGGACAGGCTCCTGGGAAGAAACTTCCAAGCTGAGTTAAGATTTCTAGGACTCATTTAAGTCCAGACACAGATTAAATGACTTCACTTAAAAAGATATGTATATTAAGATAGAGTGAAACAATTTATTACATAAGACTGAATCGATTGATGAGGGATATATATGCTTTTTAAAACATAATTGGAATTATTATTTTTTTTTTTTTGAGAAGGAGTCTCACTCTATCGCCCAGGATAGAGTGCAGTGGCACAATCTTGGCTCACTGCCAGCTCCGCATCCCGGGTTCACGCCATTCTCCTGCCTCAGCCTCCCGAGTAGCTGGGACTACAGGCGCCCACCACCACGCCCGGCTAATTTTTTCTGTTTTTAGTAGAGACGGGGTTTCACTGTGTTAGCCAGGATGGTCTCAATCTCCTGACCTTGTGATCCGCCCGCCTCTGGTTCCCAAAGAGCTGGGATTACAGGCATGATCCACTGCGCCCGGCCTGGAATTATTTTTAATGCTCTATTTTCTGATGATATATACAGTTAGTTAGGGGATTTTGGTACTGAGCAAGAAAAAAACAATCACAACCTCCCAGTAAAACAGAATGAGCTTTTTTTGGAATGGTATTTTGGTAAGTTTGCATAGAAAGAAGTGTCAGTCATAGCAGGAGACTTTCCAGAGACAGTAGCCTGAGGCCATCACTCAAAAAGACCAGAGGGCAAAGAAAGTCCTGAAGGAGAGGGGAATTAGAGAGGAGGCTTACATAGAGAGGTGATATTGCGCAGCAGCAAAATTATAGAGCTCTGAAGGGTAGCAGTAACTTGGAATCTTTTACAGCCTCACGGGTGATCTTACCTATTCCTAGAAGATGTGCTTATTTGATCTATATGTAAATCAGTTAAATGTGTTCAAATTTGAGTTTGGTGCTGGTGGACTTTTGACCTAACAGTCTCTAATAACTGTGAAAAAGTAAACAGGGGTCATTATTAGTCCATCTATACAACATTTGGGTATGTAAGAAAATACTTCATATTTGTTAGCTGTCTCTAAACCTTAACTTAGTAGACTTTAATTTTAAGCTAAAATAGAGATTGCTAGACACTATCATATTGTTACTGATTTCTCGGTATTCAGAAGAAAAATTATTTTATGGGGTCTCAGTACTTTTCTTGGGAAGTTGAGTACATTTAATAAGAATCTCTTTACCTGTTTAACAGGAAATAGTTGTTCAAATAATTTTGAACCAGGAATCAAGGCTAATCCTGGAAGGCCATGTGGGGAATAGAGCTCATTCAATCAGGTATGAGCTTGTGGCAGGCCAGGTCTCACTAACTCAGGCCTCCATAACAACTATTTCAGTACTGAGTAGTGAAGTTAAATATTAAAAGCTGAAAGAGCCAGCACCCTTATACAAAGGCTGGAATGTAACAAAAGCCCACCAGGAGTTTTGACTTGGCCTTTCCTGGGCCTTAAAGCATGACAAAATAACGAAGGAATTCTTAACAGGACCTGTTTATGATTAAACAAGTTTTATTGGCGGGGGCAGGGGGGTTTCTGAATCAACTCCCCAGGCCTCCACAAACAAGTTTATTGGGGGTCTGAAGGAACTCCCCAGACCTCCATGATTTAGCAGGAGACAAGATAAGGGTAATCATCCCAGCACCTGGACTCATTTAGATTAAGTAAATTTACTGAGGTTCCAGAGGACTGTCTTCAGGACTCAGACCTTACTTATAGATTAAAAAAAGTTAATCACTTATGTCTTTAGATGAAGGAACACTTACAAATAGACATAGAGCTTGGAAGTATATAAGCTCTAGAAATCTCTGTAATTTTGAGTTGGTCTGGTGATATTTTCCAGGCCTTCTCCCTGTAACCAATTACAGAAATAAAAGCTCTCTTCTCTCCCAGTTTGTCTTATCTTGTTATTGGGCCTGGATAATAAGCAGCCCAACCCTCGGTTAGGTCCGGGAACAAGCTGAGTTCTGAAGAGCAAGAGTGTTACATTATGTGACTCATTGCTTACAAAGCCTTTCCTGAGAAACTCACCTGGTATCCAAATTATAGGGATTCAGCCTCATAATTTGTAAGGAACACTTGCTAGTGGTCCTGGGGCCTTCAAAGTTTTGAGAAACAGCAAGAGGAGGAGATTAATTTCCTCAAACTTATTTATATTTCTGTAGGACCTTCTGAACAGAGATTCTTGAGTGTGGTTACATAGACTTGCGATAGAAGAGTCAAATAACAGAGTGATTTTAACATCCAGCCAAGATTCCTTACAAAAATTTCTACACATAGGTTAACTTTCTCGTCTCAGTTTGTTCAGTAAGTTATTTTTGACAAGGTTCATATGTGCTAATTATCAGTTTTTGCTGCACCTATGTAAATAATTGTGTACAAAATAAAATGGGAGTAGTGTGTTCTCTATGTGTGTTTGTGTGTTTGTCTGACGATTAATTCTTATGTGTCAACTTGATTGGCTAAAGGGTGTGCAGATAGCTGGTAAAGCATTATTTCTTTTTTATTTTTTTGAGCCGGAGTCTTGCTCTGTTGCCCAGGCTGGAGTGCAGTGGCGCGATCTCTGCTCACTGCAAGCTCCACCTCCCGGGTTCACGCCATTCTCCTGCCTCAGCCTCCAGAGTAGCTGGGACTACAGGCGCCCGCCGCCACGCCCGGCTAATTTTTTGTATTTTTAGTAGAGACGCGGTTTCACCATGTTAGCCAGGATGGTCTCGATCTCCTGACCTCGTGATCCACCCGCCTCGGCCTCCCAAAGTGCTGGGATTAGAGTAAAGCATTATTTCTAAGTGCATCTGTGAAGATATTTCTGGATTATATTGGCATTTTAATAAGTAGACCGAGTAAAGAAAATTGTTCTTACCTATGTAGGCAGGCATCATCTAATCCATTGATGGCCTGAATAGAACACAAAGGTGAATAAAGAGCAATTTGCCCTGGCTCTCTGTTTGAGCTGGGATATCCATAATCTCCTCTTCTCGGAAGTAACACTCTTGGATTTTGGGCTTTTGGAATCAGAACAAAATGTCTACCATTAACACTCCACCATTGGTTCTAAGGCCTTCAGCTCCAGATTGCATTGCTATTGGCCTTCCTGATTCTCCAACCTGCAGGTGACTGACTGGGATTTCTCAACCTCCAAAACTGTGTAAGCCAATTCCCATAATAAATGTATATTTACATACATATATAGGTTTCAAGGTTCAGTTACACACACACACACACACACACACACACACACACACACACAGGTTCTTTTTGTCTGGAGAACCCTAATGCAGTGTGCAGAATCAAGAACTACCTTTGGAGATTCCATATGATCACAAAAGAGGGAGAGAGGTTGTTAATAAAAGTTTTCTAAAACTTTGAAATAAGCAAATAAATGTAAGGGCCAGGCACGGTGGCTCACACCTGTAATCCCAGCACTTTGGGAGGCCAAGGCGGGTGGATCATGAGGTCAGGAGTTCAAGACCAGCCTGACCAACATGGTGAAACCCCGTCTCTACTAAAAATACAAAAATTAGCCGGGCGTGGTGGTGCGCGCCTGTAATCCCAGCTACTCAGGAGGCTGAGGCAGGAGAATTGCTTGAACCTGAGAAGCAGAGGTTGCAGTGAGCAGATATAGAGCCACTGCACTCTAGCCTTGGGGGATACAGCAAGACTCCGTCTCAAAAAAAAAAAAAAGAAATGTAAAAAAGTATATTTAGTAATAATATAAACAATTAACTTCAACATACCAGCTCTTTACTAATCAGCTTTTTTTCATGCATTTTTTTTCTTATAGTTGCTAAGGAAAAATACAATATTTAAAACTGATATCCAGAGTAAGTAGGTTCCTATATATCTTCTGGGAAACTCTTTTAATAAGTCTATTCCATAATTGCTTAATTTTCTAAGAGGAGAGTCCTATGTTTGACTTTGCTATTCACTGTTTGATTAAATCCCACTCACTATCAAGTTACATGTAAACTTGTAGATTTCTGTGAGTAGGAAAAAAAATTGCTAAAGTTTATAATTTTATTAACCGCTATTTTTGTTAGAAAATTTATACCAGCATGTGTTCGACAGACTATGCAGAACTCCATAACTTAGGTTTTCTTTTCGTATACAACAGCTTTGTTGAGATATAATTTTCATACCAACAATTCACCCATTTCAAGACACAATTCAATGGTGTTTAGCACATTCAGAGATTTGTGTAAACGATGCAAACAAGTTTAGAACATTTTTAAATGTTCTAAAAAAGCCCACACCTATTGTTATTAATTCCCCCAAATCGACAGATTGGCCTATTCTAGATATTTTCTATAAATCAATTCATACATCATGTGGGTTTTTCCCACTGATTTTTCTAACTTAGCATAACATTTTCAAGGTTCATCTATAAGTATCAGCATGCATTAGTATTTCTTTCTTTTTTATTGCTGAATTTAAACCAGATATACTATTTTATTAGTTCCCTTATTTATTACTGTATTGAATAAATATTTTATGTGTGTTCGTGGTCTTAATTTTATTTTGCATTTGTAACTAAACACAATATTAAGGAATGATTTTATGTTTTCAAGTTTTGGATTTTTTTTATTTTTCTGTGTTTTAAAGAATAGAAATATGTACATAATGTCAAAAAAGCTTACATTCAAACGTACTGAAACAAAATGAAAAATCAACAAATACATACCATTTTTCAAAAATATAACTATATAAAACATTCAAGAATCATCTACTCTTATACAGAAAATAGTATCGTAAAAATTCAGTTTGTAGTTAAATAGTTGAGATTCTGACATATTGCTGGATTTTTTTTTTGAGACAGGCTTGCTCTGTCACCCAGCCTGGAGTGCAGTGGCGTGATCTCGGCTCACTGCAGCCTCTGCCTCCCGGTTTCCAGTGATAGTGATTCTCCTGCCTCAGCCTCCTGGGTAGCTGGGACTACAGGTGCACGCCACCACGCCTGGCTAATTTTTGTATTTTTAGTAGAGATGGGGTTTCACCATGTTGACAAGGCTGGTCTCGAACTCCTGACCTCAGGTGATCCACCCTTCTCGGCTTCCCAAAGTGCTGGGATTACAGGAGTGAGCCACCGCTCCTGGCCTTTCTGTAGTTTTATATGACCTTGTGAAATGGAAAAGAAATGTTAAGTTCCACATTTCAATACATTTTATTTTTATTCATTTTGTTCATTAGAAACATACAAAAGGCATTTGACATTATTTGTATTTTTACAGCTGCTTTCAATAATTCGTGTCAAAGTGTGAAATTTGTTGATTTTTCTGTGACCAGTCCATGAAATACATTGTCTAACTGCTGGATATACTGGCTTCTTAGCAAAAAATGCTCTAAATAAAAGATGTGTTTTGAAATGCTAAACATCTTTCTTACTATATAAATCTAATCCAAATTTTTTCATGAAAATGAGAGAACTGGAAATAGATCTCTGGATCTTGCAATTCTATGTGAACAAAAAGTGTTATGACATTTTTACTTGAATGTGAGTTAAAAATGCGGAAAACCACTCAAAACTGTAGTTTTGTGTTTTGCATTTTTTTTTTTAACTAGTCCTAGGGTTTAACCACCATTGTACTGGGTTTTTGTAGACTTTAAGTCTTTTTTCTTTCTATCCCATTCCTTCTAATATCTACAAAGATCTAATTATAAAACATATACCCTGTGTCTGATATTGAAGTTATTCCTCTAAAATTGATGTACAATTCAGAGTAAATATATATTGCTGATTCTTGTCTTCTAATCTGAATTAATTTGTTACTCAGTATATTAATATTTAGTTAGCTTAGTAATGTTGATTTATTTATTATGTAGATCTATCAAAGTGCTCTTATTTGTGTATTTATACAACCTATCTACAAAAATAGTATTAATCTTACTCAAATTATTTGGTCTAGTATCTGTATATTTTATGTGGAATGATATCCATAATTATCTCATATTTCCACATTTATTTTAAGATAACATGCTTTAAGATAATTAAAATTCTTGCCTTGAAACATTCAAACAATACTTTTAATTAAGTTGTATATAAGATTGCTTATACGAGGCAACTGTTTTGAAATTATTGAAGTGTTGTTTATTAGAAATATCTTTTTCTACCATTAAGTTAAATGTGTTAATGAAAAGATGAAGTGAGACAGTGGAATTTGGTGAATTCATCACAATCAATGATGTTTATACATTTTATTAGCAAATGTATCAGGCTGAATTGTTCAGTATTGTTACTAAAACTGATGAATTCTCTAGGAGTATATTGTTAAGTTTAATTTGAGTTTTCCTCCTTTTTAAGTGTATCTGATGCTGGATTATCAATTCTGTTATTTCACTAAGTGGTGAATCTTCTTCTAGGAAACAAAATAAATGTTTCAAGTAAAAGACTTTCTCTCTCCTAACTCTAAAACTTTTCAGCAACCAGCATATATATTAATAAGGCTAGTGTTTGTAATAAAACTTGAGGAAAAAAGTACTGCAATTAAAAGTAAAGAAACATATAGCAAAGCCTGCCCCTTGACTACTAAATAGCTGGAGCCTTGGCAATCTTGGCATAATCTGTTTTTTCCCCAAACTTTACATCATTCACATTTATTCTAGCAAAGAAAATTAGAAAAATTGAACCTATAGATATACCTTGCCCTCATTTCTCCAAGATGTGTTGTGGTATTGCATGTTAATTATTGACTGTCAAATTATCTCAGTCATGTGATGCAAATTATATATATATACACATATATATGTGTGCATATATACGTATATATATATAAAAAAGTAAATATTTTATGTGCATGTTTGTGTATAGTTAATCCCATATTATTTGCAGATTCTGTATTTGCAAATTTGCTTACTCCCCAAAGTTTATTTGTAGCCACAAAATCAATGCCTGGGGTGCTTTTCAGGTCATTCATTTTTAGAAATTTGCAAGCAGTAAAAAAATTTGAGTGGCTCCATGCACGTGAGTTCCCAGCAGAGGTTGAGTGGGAAATTTGTCATCCCATGAACATGTGCATTCCCAGCTGAGGTTGAACAAGGCAATTCTCTGTCCTTTTGTTTCAGATATAGTGCAAACAATTGTCTTTTCCGTGATCCAGTTAGTGCCCGGTTTTTGCTTTCTTTGGTTGATGTTGTTGTTGGTTACCATTTTACTGATATTCAAAACCCATTGAATTTCCAACACTGATTTGTCTTAGAAAGAACATCTGTAGAACAAATAAGAGGGTTAAGAACTGAAATGTTTGTAATTTCATATATTGCTACTAAATGAATACAGCATTTGATAATATTAAATGTTATCATTTCTATTTTTTTCATTGTTTTAATTGTATAATTAAAACTTAGACACAATACCTAAAAAGATCCAGTTGTGATTACAGTAGTGCTGAACACGATTCTTTAACTTTTCTAATTATTTTATATTTCTGACTTTTTTCATGCAAACTCAGTTTATATACTGAAAATGAGGACACTTAGACTGTGAAATAGGTAGCCAAAATATATTAAGAATTACATTTATTAATCAATATTTTATTTTAAAAAGTCATTAAAAAACCCTTGGAAAAAACAATTAATTGAAACAAGTTTATTCGTCAGCTAAAGTATTTTAAGGCATTTGAGTTTGAGGCATTTATGTATGTTGCTCTACTTCTTCCCTTCAGACTACAATGAGAGCCATGGAATTTCTTTAACTTATGTGAAATAATAATGATTTCTGAATCAAGTTTCTCCTGCCCAAGTAATTGTCTCTGTCAAAGCACTTTAACTAAAAAGAAACCACTCACTTTTCGTGGAAATAGTTCCTTTTGAATTTAATCATATTGAAAGTCTATTAATTGGAAAAGTGTACTGTTGAATGCAAAGCTTGCATAGACTTCAGAAACAGAAATTTTAAAATAGAGGTTGATTCACATGAACACATGGTTTAGATTTCTAACAATACACCAAAAATAGAAGCCAAAAAGGAACTAGAAAAATATGTTAAATATGTTTTTCATCTCTTGTTATAGTGTTACAGGTGTCATCTCTTCAGAGAGGTCTTTCTTGACCAACTATGTTAAGATGATCGTCTCTACCTGTTATGTTTTCATCACACAGTTGGTTTACTACTTTAGAATTTCCTTTTACAAATTTCTCAGAAAACTATAGTTGTAATTATAATATTTAATTATTTGCTTATTTATCTATTGTTATTAGACTAAATATCAGATATTTATGAGTAATACAATTGAACGAAGTTTATAGTGTGCATAACTATCCATAAGTTTTCGTCTATTACATGTTATCTATTATATATATTTATCTATCTATATGTAAATATAATCAATCAACCAGAAGGACATTTCATGCCACCAGTACCAAAGAGTGAGCTTTTTACAAGTTCTTGGTTCAAAATAAAAATTTGACCCAACATTACTACTGAGGAGGATGAACTTAAAATACTTAACTGACCAAGAGAAGCATTAGTAATGTCAGAACCTGCAGAGAATATGATGACTGTCAACTTGAATAGGCTAAAGGATGCAAAGATAGATGATGAAACATTATTTTGGGGTGTTTCTCTGAAGATGTTTTCAAAAAAGATATACTTTTGAGTTAGTGAACTCAGTAAAGAAAAATCACCCTCTCCAGTGTGATGGTGTTATCCAGCTAGTTGAGGGCCTGAATAAAACAAACAACTCAAAAGAAGGACCAATTCACTTCTCTGCTTGAGAAGCTGAGACATCCATTTTCTGATCTCAGACATAAACACTTCTGATTCTTGGGCCTCCAGACTCAAAACAGAACTTACACCTTTCCCCTGAGCCCTATCACACTGTGATTGAGTCTTCAGACTTGTACTAGTACCTATGCCACCTTTGTCTCCCCTTGTTCTTAGGCCTGAAGATTTAGACTGGAACTATACCACCTTCTTTCCTGGGATTCTTACTTGCAAATAGCAGATTGTGGGACTTTCATAACCAGGTGAGGCTATATGTCACAATGAATATTTTTCTATACATCTGTATCAATATCTAACTGGTTCTGTTTCTCTGGAGAACTCTTATACAGATAATCAGACTGAAATTTGTAGTTGTATTGTATGGAATGATATGCACAGGGAGTTCTGTGAATTATTTTCTGCAAACTCTAAGGTAGAGACGATGTGATATAAGCAAATCACCTGTGCTCTTCTAAAATGTTACATGTTGCCATTGCTCTGAGAATGGTGATTTGCAAGCAGATAAAAAGAGCCTGGAGAATTTTGATCAATATTTTGCTTTATTTTGTTTTTTAAAGCTCAGAGACCAGTCAGAAGATTTGAATTTTTAACAATATAGTTCAATTATACTGTAAGACATGCTTAGAACAAATATGAGATAGAGGTTGGTAGATACAATAAAGTTTGTCACATAGGTTTATTATATCCATCGCCACCAAGACAGCATCCTAGGATTTTGGAAGGTTGTTTCTTCATTTTGGCTTAAACTAGCCAGCAGAACAGTGTTGGATTTTTTGTTTGTTTGTTTGTTTTTGTTTTTGTTTTTTTGTTTTCTCTTGTAATGGGTTCAGAGAAGGCCTGTAGGATTTATTCAATAAATTAAGTGGGAATTAGTGGCCGGCCAGGGTAGAGACACTCAACTATTTAGAACACCTTATTGGGCATTCTGCATTACCTTCCTCACTTCAACATTAGATGTTTCAGGAGCTCTTAAAAGTGCTTCTGTGGTTAAGTTTCATCTTCTGCTACCGCTAGATTTTCTTTTCTCTGCTATTGCCAAATTCTGTTGATCCAGATTTTAAGGTTAGGCTGAAGCCCTCCCAATATGTAACCACGTAGAACAAATCAGGATTTAGGAATCAAGTTTTTGCAAAATATTTCCAGGTAGATGGTCCATCACGAAATGAAATACAGAAATCTTCTGATCATGACATACTCCGTCTGGTTCAAATGGAGTAGTTGGGTGTGTTGCAGGTGTTCCAAATTTGAGTGTTAAAGTTAATATCTCCAAACCTTAAAATATACACAGGGAGGACAAGAGACTCCTGCTTTCAAATAAATGTTTAACCTAAGCCATATATTATTTTAAGGCAAAAAGTAGTTGCAGTGAAAGAAGTCGTCAAAACTTGGTCAATATGCAAGAGATTATTATTTTCCGGGTAAGTGTATGCATGGTTTTATTCAGGATGTCAGATAAGAAGTGAAAATCATTCATTTAACAGTGCAGTTCTTCATACTCTTACATCCCTCACAAGAACACGCAAGGTAAAATATTAAGAAAAAAAATACTGGTGGCTTACAAAAAATCACCAGAATGATTATAGTTCTTTCACTTACTTGAGTTGTATCATATATCTATTCATATAGCTACCTTGGTATCATAATATTAACTCTGTTCTTGGAAAGGAGACAGCTCAACAACTTCAACTCCGGGTGGTCAAATACACATTTCTGTACTGCAGAAGCAGAAGCAGTCGCAGTCAAAAACTGCTAAAACTAGAGACTTATGAAATATCAGCTGGCCGGGCGCGGTGGCTCATGCCTGTAATCCCAGCACTTTGGGAGGCCAAGGCGGGCGGATCACGAGGTCAGGAGATCGAGACCATCCTGGCTAACATGCTGAAACCCCGTCTCTAATAAAAATGCAAAAAAAATTAGCTGGGTGTGGTGGCGGGCGCCTGTAGTCCCAGCTACTCGGGAGGCTGAGGCAGGAGAATGGCGTGAACCCGGCAGGCAGAGCTTGCAGTGAGCCAAGAAGATTGCGCCACTGCACTCCAGCCTGGGCAACAAAGCGAGACTCCGTCTCAAAAAAAAAAAAAAAAAAAAAAAGAAGAAATATCAGCTAATAGCAGTAGAGTTAGGACACAAGCTAAGCAAACCAGCAAATATTAGTCAAAAAGTTCTGCAAATTTTTCCACAGAGAAAATAGCATCAAAACATAACGCCTTTAGAATATTGACTTTATTTAATAGTTTCTCAGAGAAATACAAAGTCATGCAAAATTTAGTGTCATTCTTCAAAGCCCCTTAAGCATATCATTATTATGGAAATTTGAAAGGAGGGAATACAAAGAAAATGAAATAGATCAGTACAAAAAGATATCCTATGATGTTGTATATTTTATTTATTTATTATTTATTATTTATTTATTTATTTATTTTTGAGACGGAGTCTCGCTCTGTTGCCCAGGCTGGAGTGCAGTGGCGCTATCTCGGCTCACTGCAAGCTCCGCCTCCCGGGTTCACGCCTTTCTCCTGCCTCAGCCTCCTGAGTATGTGGGGGCTACTCAGTTGCCTGCCACCACGCCCGGCTAATTTTTTGTATTTTAGCACACATGGGGTTTCACCGTGTTAGCCAAGATGGTCTTGATCTCCTGACCTCGTGATCTGCCCGCCTCAGTCTCCCAAAGTGCTGGGATTACAGGCGTGAGCCACCGTGCCTGACCAATGTTGTATATTTTAAGATAATATGTGGATCCTTTTGATTGGTGGTGGAAGAATTTATATGCCCTGCAGTAATGATTTTTGACGTATTTAGAAACTGATTAATAAAAAAACATACTGCTTGCCACAGCAAAGTCTTTGGACAAAGACTTTGGACCTGTTGTATGTAAAGAAGCTCCTTAGCATTCTCATTTGAGAAAACTTCTCCATGGATGACATAACTGTAAGGAAACTGCAACCAAGCAGAAGTGATATAGGCAAAATTAGAGGCAGATGTTGAAGGGAAAGGCAGCAATCTAGGTTTGGCCATGTAGTGGAAGACAAGGTCATGGGGCATCAACTGTGGGACGTAAACCACGGGCCTCTATGAAAGCACTTTTCTGACAGTGTCTGAAACAAAGAGATCCAGTTTGCAGAACTTGAGTTATGTGACTTGTGGGGGACGCTTGAAAAACATCAATATAACAAACAAATACAAAATTAACTAATACTATTTTTTACACTTTTTTTACAGTGAGAATTCTAATTAAAAGATGTAATTGAAAGTTGACAAGTGCCACAAATAAAAACACACACACAAAAAAACAGCTTCTAAAATCATTATTTAAATCCCCAAGACATCTCTATAATCCCTTAAATGTTTTTCTAAATTTTGGCTGCATACTCTTTGATCATCTGTCCAACTGACAAAAGTAAAAACAGAAAAAGACAGGTTACTATTATTAAACTGATGCTTTGTATTTCCCAGAAAAATCTGGCTTCCTTATTGTGTTATTCACTGCTCAATTTACCATATGGTTATAAAAATTTTTAATAAATCTTTGTAGCATATATGTGGCAAAGCCAGTAAACAGAAAGAAGCTCGTATATGATAATAATCCAGATTTAAAAAGAAAAAAAAACATTAAAGTTGTGTCCAATGTCTATTTGGATATCATTTAAGTATTAAGCATATAAAAGTCATTACAGAGGCACTTTTGGTATATAGAACTCACTATTTAATTACATGTTATTTCGTATTATTTTATATGAAATAATGTTAGCAGTGTAATATATCACTAGGAAAGGTTTTTTTTAAAAAAATAATGGCAATATTAAAAAATATTTAAAAATCCCAGAAGTTCACGCAACACACATCAAATTCCTTTGACAGTCAGACTTTAATAGTTGTCCACCAGTATATTTATAAATTTTCTATTTTTATGGAAAAATTACACAAACTGCAAGCCAGAAATAGGAAATAGGTGGGCATAAAACTGTAAATTTTAGAAAAAAATTGAATTATGATAATTTGAATAGGCAACACCACAATTTTGCGTTTTATATTTTTATTCAATATTCAAATACAATTTTTTTGTAATAAGACATGTTCAATGTCAAGAGTGGCAGAAATCCGTATTTTGTTTTATCAAACTAAACATTTTTACTTTCTTGAGTACTACATGGACATAGTTCAGATAATACTTGAACCAGCAGCACCTCTACTTTTAAATGATATCTTTTTAATTATTTGTCAGGCTACGTTAATCTTTTTAAGCATGCTGACATTCTTAATCCAGGTGTGGTTTTTCCGTTCTCCAACTTGCAAGTTTTGTGGATATTTTGCACTATTGTCAAGTGTCTACACTACCAGTGAGAGAGATGAAAACAATCTTAGCAAGCAATGATGAATGGTTCAGTAAGGTTGATTTATGCCACCTATGTTTTTATTCCAACAGCAACATTCCTCTCTCTGTTCAATTGATACTATCAGCATAGATTTATATTTTTTCCTGAGTTGCCACAGTAAGCAAAATGAATGTTGCCTAGGAATTTATTGGGGGAGTGAATGACTTGATTTGAGATGTCATCTATGCTGACTGATGTTTTTAAAAATATTTGATTTAATGGTCTACCTCCACAGATATCATCCAGTTAGATTATTACTATTATTATTATTATTTTTTAGTTTTTTGAGACAGAGTCTCACTCTGTTGCCAGGCTGAAGTGCAGTGGCTCACTGCAACCTTTGAAATCCTGGTTCAAGTCATTCTCCTGCCTCAACCTCCAGAGTAGCTGGGATTACAGGCACGTGCCACCATGCCCAGCTAATTTTTGCATTTTTAGTAGAGACAAGGTTTCACCCTATTGGCCAGGATGGTCTCGATCTCGTGACCTTGTGATCTGCCCGCCTCGGCCTCCCAAAGTGCTGGGATTACAGGCGTGAGCCACCAGGCCCAGCCAATAATATTTTTTTATACATACTATATAAGCTTTTCAAAATCAAATGTTTGGACCCACGTAAGTATGCACGTATTTTTGTGTGTGTGCAGACACCTAATATACACTATAGTTACCACATAGATATTTTAGTAAATGCCATCTGAGTAGGCACTTATTATCCTGCAATATAAAGGTAATGAGATTTTTTTGTGTATATGTGATCCACACAATCTTACTAAGTACTTTACTATCAAAAGCAAATCACCAGTGCACACTGGTGGAATAATTTATATGTTCTATTTGTGTGAGAACACGGACTGAGATCGCTAATCTCTGAGCCTCATCAGATCTTGATTAGGAAGTGTTACTATGGACCAGATATCTATGATCAAAACACAGGGTCAAAAAACAAAAAAGAGGCCAGGTGTGGTGGCTGGCTGATGCCTGTAATCCCAGCACTTTGGGAGGCAGAGGCGGGCGGATCACCTGAGGTCAGGAGTTCAAGACCAGCCTGGCCAACATGGTGAAACCCCGTCTATAATAAAAATACAAAAATTAGCTGGGTGTGGTGGCAGGCATCTGTAATCCCAGGTACTCCGGAGGCTGAGGCAGAAGAATCGCTGGAACCAGGGAGGCAGAGGTTGTGGTGAGCCAAGATCGCGCCATTGCACTCCAGCCTGGGGGAGAAGAGTGAGACTTCATCTCAAAAACAAAAACAAACAAACAAAAAAAGAGTAAAAAAAAACAAAAAAGAATATGTAAGTCCCCAAAATAGAATTATCTTGAGGTAAGGGAGAGTATCATTCAATATCTCAGGCCTCCCACAAAAATCAGAAGTCTGGTCCTGGAACAGCTTGGGACTAAGGTTGAAAACCAGCTACATCCCTACAATCTGATAGTACGCTCTTTTGGATAACAACAGGTCAAACAAGAGCTATACAACTTGAAACCCAAATATGTAACCAATTTTGGCGTCTGCTTCATAATCTGGACATGGGAAATTTGGTTTTAAATTCCAAGTGTCCATGAGACAACATGTAGTAAGTATAACAATAGATGTAGCAATGTACTAGTCCATTCTCATGCTGCTAATAAAGACATACCCGAGACTGGGTAATTTGTAAAGTAAAGAGGTTTAATTGATTTACAGTTCAGCATGGCTGGAGGGGCCTCAGGACACATATCATCATGGCAGAAGGGGAAGCAAACACATCTTTCTTCACATGGTGGCAGCAAGAAGTGTTGAGCAAAAAGGGGGAAAGCCGCTTTTAAAAGCATCAGATCTCTTGAGAACTCACTCACTATCATGAGAATAGCATGTGGGTAACGGCTCCATGATTCAATTACCTCTCACCAGGTCCGTCCCACGACACTTGGGGATAATGGGAATGACATTTCAAGATGAGATTTGGGTGGGGACATAGCCAAACCATATCAAGCAACAAGCAACTTTTGTGGTTCCTCTACCCGTTGATCAAAACAGGCCTGACATATTTGTAATTCAGGAATACAACTCAGATAGATAAATGATAGTTGATAGGTAGATAAATAGATAGAAAGCATTAACTTCCTAGGGCTACCATAAGAAAGAACCACAAACTGGGTGGCTTAAAAGAACAGAAAATAATTTTTTCACAGTTCTAGAGGCTGGAGGTCTGAAATCAAGGTGGCAGGGTCAGTTTCTGAGGGCTGTGAGGGAGAGTCTGTACCGTGTCACTCTCCTAGCTTCCGGTGGCTTGCCAGCAATCTTTGACATTTCCTGGCTAGCAGATGCATTGCTCAAGTCTTCTGCCTTTGCCTGATGTTCTCTCTGCCTCTCTCATGTAGTCTTCCCTCTGTGCATGTCTGACTCTTCATATTTTTCCTTATTTATAATGATACCAGTCAACTGGATTAGGGTGCACTCTAATGACCCCATTTTAACTTGATTATCACTGTAAAGATTTTCATTCCAAATGAAATCACATTCTGAGCTACTTGTGGTTAGGACTCCAACATATATTTATTAGGAGACAAAATTGAACTCATAACTGATAGGTATATGTACAGATAGATTGCTAGATTATATTAAAAGGGACATGGAAAAGCAGATTAGTTTTGTATTCTTACACATGGAGGTGGTGTCAACCTTATCAATTATGTATTTAATCAGATTGTTAGGTCTCAGAATAAAAGGTGAAACTTTAAAGTTGCTCTTTAATATAGGCTATATTGTTTTTAACAGTTGATGAATTGACATAAAATTATTGTGTCGATCATTTGAAATGTAGAGGAAGAATTTATAGAACAAAATTTCTGCAATTATTTCTACATGTGAAACCTTATGATAAAACTTAATAGTAACTTCAGTTTATTGTAACTTAAATCAATTGAGTTATAAAAACCTGTGAGAATATGTCACATTCCAGTCACGTAAAGAAATGCTGTAAATATGAAGAATAAAATACAGTTACTATCCTCAAGAAAAAAAAGAGATAGTCAATAAAAACTTAGAATGGAGTGCTAAAAAGTTTGCAATTGATTGAATAAATTATCAAAAGTTATAGGAGGTTTTAAATGGGAAACAGAATTTTAGTAAGACAAATATCTATGTAAGATAGGTGAACACCGGTAGAATATAGAGTTTCTCTCTTTTTTTGTGTGTGTTTTTGTTTTTATAAATAACCTAGAGAAAAGAAAAACTAAATGTGTTTTTAGATGACCTTTCCCTGGCCAATAAATAGTTACAGTGGAGTTGATATTCACAAGCTATGGTGACTGATTACATGTGAGAAATGTGGAAGGTACATGAATCTGCCACGCATAGACCCAACTCTTACTCAAAACTTCATTCTGAGTGTAGTTACCAGGTGACGGTGCTCTGTTACATGATGAAAGAAAAGCTAAAATCTAAAATGCTGGAACACAAAAATATTTTGTTTCTAACATTTTGTTGAAAATTTTTTTTGTTTTTATTTTTTCTTCGTATTTATAACTGAAAAAAAGAAAAAAAATTAAAATAAGATAAAATGGGAAACTTGAAGCTGGGTTAAATGAAAAAATATATTGGTATATTTAACATATTCTACAAGAAGAATGTTACATGTAAGAAAATGTTTTTATATGGTTCAGAGTGATTGGGAGAGAGGATAAATGAAACTCTAAAAACCAGCATAAAAAAGCTAAAGAAGAAAGAAGACTGACTAGCTACAAAAGCATTATTTTTTATAAAACACCCAAAATGAAAGGTATGAAGAAGACAAAGTAAAAGGCTTGTGACCAGCTACTGGATAGGTATGATTTTAAAAAGCAAATCGAATAGAAAAGCAAAGGAATTTAGTTCAGCTATACAGGATAGTTTGGACTTTGACTTACATTACATTTTGCTTTCTTTCTGAAAGTTTCTGCTTACCGAAAATACAGGAAGTGTTACTTTACAAAATAAGGAGTCTGTGTGTCAGAATTCTTTATATGACTTTGATTATGTTTTAAAATTTATACCATCCTTTTGACTTTCCCTTTCTGTTCTGTCATGGGGATTAGTGGGAGTTGGGGAAGGAATATGTTTGGTAAGCTCTGTCGCTTATACTGGAAGTAGGTTTCTTATATTTTTGATATAGTAACAAATCAATCAATCAATAACATTTTGAAACTTAGTGGATTCTCAGCTGCAAAATCTAAGTGAAAGGCAACCAGTCTAAGGTATTTGGGGATTTGCTGGTATATAGGTTTATATGAAGGAGAAGGGCCCCTGTGACTAGTGAAAAGTAGAGCTTATAGAGGCAATACCACAAATTTCACCAGGAAAGGTAATCCCTTTCAATCAAACCGTTGGTTTATCACTTCAGAACTGATTGGTTACAGTGGGGTATGGCCTGGTGGAATGCTAAAATTCAGTTTGTTGAGTCTAGCAAAAACAATTCAAAATGTATTATCATTTAGTTTTCTGCTGTCTGACCAGTTTTCCTAGAAACAATTGTTTTGATTCTTTTTTTGTTTGTTTGTTTGTTTTGTTGAGATGGAGTTTCGCTCTGTCACCCAGGCTGGAGTGCAGTGACGTGATCTCCGCTCACTGCAAGCTCTGCCTTCCGGGTTCATGCCATTCTCCTGCCTCAGTGTTTTGATTCTTTTGTCTGTGGTCCTGACTGTTAGCTACTTTACACCCTTAGGCTCAAGCCTGTCCAGAGGGTAAAACTTAATTAATGTATTTTTTTGTATCACTGTTTTATTGATGGTTAATATTCAGTGCCCAGAACAGTGCATACCATATTGTACATATAATGTAGTTGTTTATTAAATGCAAGGATAAATGTCAAAACTTTGTTAGCATCTTGCATAAACTTGGGCTCATCTGAGGGCTTTTAGTTATCACTGGCTTGGCAATGAAGCAAAGCAGTAGGTTAGAGAATTTACCCCAGAGTTCAGTTGCATGGTTTTCTTTTTCATATCCACTATTTATTAGCTATGCAAATTTGGGAGGTACTTTTAAATTTGTGTGTCTTGATTTTCTCTTCTATAACATAGAAATATTATTTTTTGGGTTCATTGTTAATATTAAATTGTGAAGTGTCTAATATATGCCGTGCAATCAAAGTTAGCTATTGAAAAAATTAAGGTGTATAAAGGATATGCTATAATAACAAAACAGCTGCCACAGCTGGAACAACATAAAACCTTTCTCGGAAGCAAGAACATTAATTCAGTGAACATCTACATATGAGAAGGCAAGGCACAGAGTAATGAAGCACTGACTTTTATTTGGATTCTGACACTTCTGTTTTGGCCCTAGCACTGCCCTTTACTACCATACCACAGAGGTACTGGCTGTATAATTTAACCTTTTTGAGTTTCAGTTTTCTCCTCTATATGTAACAGATAATAATGCGTGCTAAGTTTTAGATATTGTGTAGATAAGATAATTGCCTCTCATATTTCTCAAATCTGCATTATCATTCCACTCTCTTGCAATGTGCACAATTGGATTAATTAAATGGTTTCTCAACTGGTGAGGTCACCTGCAAGTAGGTCCCTCTTACGCTCTCTGAAGCTAAATAAATAGTTTTTATAATTTTTATCAAAACATAGACAATTTATGTTCTTTGAAGAGAGAAAGTCTGGGCAGGGCAAGGCCAGCCGTCGGAGGGGAGGCGGGCGCGAGGGCGGGGAGCGGCGCGGAAGCCGGGCCACGTAAAGGAGCGGGCGGCTCAACAGAGGCGGCTCTTGCCTGGGTGGGGTTTGTGAAGTCGTGGCCCGTTAGCAGGAAGCCTAACAGTCGCCCCGACGCTAGTGAGGGACCCAATCTGAGTCCCCGGCCAGCCGAATCCCAGCCGTGTGTACTGCATGCTCAGCACTGCCCGACAGTCCTAGCTAAACTTCGCTAACTCCGCTGCCTTTGCCGCCACCATGCCCAAAACGATCAGTGTGCGTGTGACCACCATGGACGCAGAGCTGGAGTTTACCATCCAGCCCAACACCACCGGGAAGCAGCTATTTGACCAGGTGGTGAAAACTATTGGCTTGAGGGAAGTTTGTTTCTTTGGTCTGCAGTACCAGGACACCAAAGGTTTCTCCACCTGGCTGAAACTCAATTAAGAAGGTGACTGCCCAGGAAGTGCGGAAGGAAAGCCCCCTGCTCTTTAAGTTCAGTGCCAAGTTCTACCCTGAGGATGTGTCCGACCGAGGAATTGATTCAGGACACCACTCAGCGTCTGTTCCTTCTGCAAGTGAAAGAGGGCATTCTCAGTGATGATATTTACTGCCGGCCTGAGACTGCTGTGCTGCTGGCCTCCCATGCTGTCCAGTCTAAGTATGGGAACTTCAGTAAGGAGGTGCATAAGTCTGGCTACCTGGCCGGAGACGAGTTGCTCCCACAGAGAGTCCTGGAACAGCACAAACTCAGCAAGGACCAGTGGGAGGAGCGGATCCAGGTGTGGCATGAGGAACACCGTGGCATGCTCAGGGAGGATGCTGTCCTGGAGTATCTGAAGATTGCTCAAGATCTGGAGATGTATGGTGTAAACTACTTCAGCATCAAGAAAAAGAAAGGCTCAGAGCTGTGGCTGGGGGTGGATGCACTGGGTCTCAACATCTATGAGCAGCATGACAGACTAACTCCCAAGATAGGCTTTCCTTGGAGTGAAATCAGGAGCATTTCTTTCAATGATAAGAACTTTGTCATCAAGCCCATTGACAAAAGAGCCCCGGACTTTGTCTTCTATGCTCCCTGGCTGCAGATTAACAAGCGGATCTTGGCCTTGTGCATGGGGAACCGTGAACTATACATGCGCCGTCGCAAGC
The DNA here is from genome assembly GCF_000001405.40 of Homo sapiens. NCBI lineage: Eukaryota > Metazoa > Chordata > Mammalia > Primates > Hominidae > Homo > Homo sapiens. The sequence continues at coordinate 25,910,397 of NC_000005.10, forward strand.
CTGACACCATTGAGGTGCAGCAGATGAAGGCACGGGCCCGGGAGGAGAAGCACCAGAAGCAGATGGAGCGTGCTATGCTGGAAAATGAGAAGAAGCGTGAAATGGCAGAAAAGCAGAAAGAGAAGATTGAACGGGAGAAGGAGCTGATGGGGAGGCTGAAGCAGATCGAGGAACAGACTAAGAAGGCTCAGCAAGAACTGGAAGAACAGACCCGTAGGGCTCTGGAACTTGGGAAGGAACGGAAGCATGCCCAGAGCGAGGCTGAAAAGCTGGCCAAGGAGCTTCAAGAAGCTGAAGAGGCCAAGGAAGTCTTGCTGCAGGCCTCCCGGGACCAGAAAAAGACTCAGGAATAGCTGGCCTTGGAAATGGCAGAGCTGACAGCTCAAATCTCTCAGCTGGAACTGGCCCGACAGAAGAAAGAGAGTGAGGCTATGGAGTGGCAGCAGAAGGCCCAGATGGTACAGGAAGACTTGGAGAAGACCCGTGCTGAGCTGAAGACTGCCATGAGTACATCTCATGTGGCAGAGCCTGCTGAGAATGAGCAGGATGAGCAGGATGAGAATGGGGCAGAGGCTAGTGCTGACCTACGGGCTGATGCTATGGCCAAGGACCGCAGTGAGGAGGAATGTACCACTGAGGCAGAGAAGAATGAGCGTGTGCAGAAGCACCTGAAGGCCCTCACTTCGGAGCTGGCCAGTGCCCGAGATGAGTCCAAGAAGACTGCCAATGACATGATCCATGCTGAGAACATGTGACTGGGCCGAGATAAATACAAGACCCTGTGCCAGATCGTCAGGGCAGCAACAAGCAGCACATTGACGAATTTGAGTCTAAGTAATGGGCACCCAGCCTCTAGGGACCGCTCCTCCCTTTTTCCTTGTCCCACACTCTTACACCTAACTCACCTAACTCATACTGTGCTGGAGTCACTAACTAGAGCAGCCCTGGAGTCATGCCAAGCATTTAGTGTAGCCATGGGACCAGCCCTAGACCCTTAGCCCCCACCCACTTCCCTGGGCAAATGAATGGCTCACTATGGTGCCAATGGAACCTCCTTTCTCATCTCTGTTCCATTTAATCTGTGTTGCTAGAATATTCCACTTCTCCAGCCCAGAGGTACTTTCCATTTGATTTTGCAAATACCCTTACACTTACTGTTGTCCTATGGGAGTCAAGTGTGGAGTAGGTTGGAAGCTAGCTCCCCTCCCCTCCCCTACCACTGCCTTCTTCTTCAGGGTCCTGAGATTTACAGGGTTGGAGTGTTTTGCGGTTTAGGGAATGAGACAGGACCTTGGATATCTGCTCCAGGCTGTCAATTAACCTAAAATTTGTCCTCCCAGTGCCCATCCCGTTTATAGTTATTTAGGCTTTGTAATGACTGGGGGATAGAAAGATGTTCAGTCATTTTTATTTCTACCTCCCAGATTGGACCTGTTACAAACTCAGCCTCAATAAGCCTTGTTGTTGACTTTAGGGACTCAATTTCTCCCCAGGGTGGATGGGGGAAACGGTGCCTTCAAGAGGCTTCACCAAATGTACTAGAAGGCCATTGGCCATTCTATTCTGGCAAGGCTGAGTAGAAGATCCTACCCCAATTCTTTACAGGAGTATAGGCCTGTCTAAAGTGAGCTCCATGGGCAGAGCTACCCCTTATTATTCCGGACCTGCAGTCACTTCGTGGGATCTGCCCCTCCCTGCTTCAGTACCCAAATCCTTTCCAGCTATAACAGTAGGGATGAGTACCCAAAAGCTCAGCCAGCCCCATCAGGATTCTTGTGAAAAGAGAGGATATGTTCACACCCAGCTTCAGTATTTTCCCTGCCAGGAGTTTTAGGTCTCTTCCTCTCTCAGAGCTACTTGGGCTATAGCTCCTGCTCCACAGCCATCCCGGCCTTGGCATCTAGAGCTTGATGCCTGTAGGCTCAACTAGGGAGTGAGTGCAAGAAGCTGAGTATGGTGAGAGAAGCCTGTGCCCTGATCCCAGTTTACTCAACCCTGTCACATGACCAAAATCCCCTTCTCATCACTCCCCTCCAAAGTGGTGACTAGGCCCTGCCTCTGTTTGACAAACTTCTAACCCAGGTCTTGACACCAGCTGTTCTGTCCCTTGGAGCTGTAAACCAGAGAGCTGCGGGTAATTCTAGCCTAGTCCCTTCCACACCCCCACGCCTTGCTTTCAACCCAGGAGCCTCCACCTCCTTCTCTGTCTCATGTGTACTCTTCTTCTTTCTACAGTGTTATGTATTCTACTGATACCTAAATATTGATTTCTGTCTTCCTTGCTAATGCACCATTAGAAGATATTAGTCTTGGGGCAGGATCATTTTGGCCTCATTCCTTTACCACTCCCACACCTGGAAAGCATATACTATATTACAAAATGACATTTTGCCAAAAATATTAATATAAGAAGCTTTCATATTAGTGATGTCATCTGTCACTATAGGTCATACAATCCATTCTTAAAGTACTTGTTGTTTGTTTTTATTATTCCTGTTTGTCTTCTCCTCAGGGTTCAGCCCTCAAGGGGCCACCCTGTCCCACCATAAAGAGCCTCTAGCTTAGAACCTCCCTCAATTCCCCGTCCACCACCCCCCACTCTGTGCCTGACCTTGAGGAGTCTTCTGTGCATTGCTGTGAATTATATTGGCACTCACTTGGTGATATGCCCTATATTGGCTAAATTCAAACTTGGAATTGTGGGGCAATCTATTAATAGCTGCCTTAAAGTCAGTAACTTACCCTTAGGGAGGCTGGGGAGAAAGGTTAAATTTTTTATTCAGGGTTTTTTTGTGTACTTTTTGGGGTTTTTAAAAATTGTTTTTGGAGGGGTTTATGCTCAATCCATGTTCTATTTCAGTACCAGTAAAATTTAGGAAGACAAAAAAAAGAAAAGAGAAAAAGAGAAAAGTGAAATGCTGAGGAAAAAAGGAAGGAAGGAAGGAAGGAAAGAAGGAGGAAAGGAAAGAAATGCCTGTGATCCCATTACACATGTATAACAATAACGTCTTATATGACATTAGTGGAATTTTATCATGTATGCAGTCTTTCTATGGTCATTTTTTAATACTGGTGGAATTAATTATCTTATGCCCACAATCCTCAAACACAGATAACTGATTTTTACATCTTGTTTTGCATTTTTATATTCACTTATCCGTGCTTCTATATTTACTTTATATTTATAGTGAATAAGATGTTGGCACATTTCTAGAATTATTGGCTTATATTTTTATGTTTTTTAAATCGTTATGATTAAGTGTGAGTTATTTGATAGTTTTAAGTTTATACATGGTATTTTTATGTTGGAAGTGCTGGATTCAAACAAGATGAATTAGGAAACTCTATATTTTATGGGGGAAGAGCACCAAAATAACTTCAGTAATTATAAAATTGTAGCTTCCTGAAAATTTAGTGAGTTGTTGGCTATGGAGCTACCTGGACTGGTACATTTAAATGTACATTTTTAATTACTTTTTCTTTGGTCAATTCTGTACTTATAGATCTATTAAACTTGTATGGTTTTCTTGAGTCAATTTAAATTTTGACAGAGATTCAGCTATTTCCTCTGGATTTTAAAAATTGTTATGGATAATTTTTAATATTTTCCATATCTATGATTATATCTGTTTTCTTGCTTCAAAATATTTTTGGAGGGGTCATATTTTATAAATCTCTACATTTTGTTTTCAATTTTACTGATTTCATATTTTATCTCTATTACGCTTTTCTTACTCCATTTTTATATTGCTTTATTTTTCTAGTTTAAGGTGACAACAAATCCAGTTTTTTGTTTGTTTGATTAGTAAAAAATATTCTTATGACTCTACCTTTTTACCTTTGAGTAGAGCTTTAATTTTCTCTTTTTGGACCAAGGTGCTTGTTTTTACTGAAGAAGAAAGACAATAATTGTGGATGATCTTAATTTGAATATGTAACCAAAACTGACAACATTTTTTTCCTATGATCTGAGTTAACTAGTTTACAAACTTTCTTCTCAATACAGATCAACAACAATGAAATTGTCTTCCTCCTTCTTTTCAAATTTTGCTTCACTATTTATTTGTCAGAGAAAATGAATAAACAGAATCAAGATAACACCCTCAGCTCTCACCACCAAATCTTTTCCCAAAACTGCACCTTGAGCACATATACTTTGTTTAAATCTTGTTAAAATGTATGAACAGTGTGTGCTCCTTACTTTACTGGACTATATGTCTTCATTCAGTTCCTGCACCATCATTCATGCACTACCATTTTTTCACTCCCTGAGAGATCATTCACATCATCATGCAATCATGATGAACTAACTGCAATTAGAATAATGCTTGCCCTTAACCCCACAATTCCTTCACACTCTTCTTGAGTCTTCTTTATAGCAAAACCCCTAAGTAGCCCTCTATCCTGGCTGTTTCTACTTTCTCACATTCCACTCTCTAAAATACTATAATTAGGATTTTATCCTAGCATACTATTAATCCACCATTGTTAAAATTACAACATTCATTCTGCCAAATCCAGTAGTCAATTCCCAAACTTCCTCTAAATTTTAATTTTCAATACAATCTCCGTCTTGTCTCTTGTCTTAATTTGTGTTTCTTCCCCTTTTGCTTGGTTCCTGTTTCTAAAATGTGCTATGATTCAGCTTTGGCTCTTTTTCTTCCTATCTGACTGTAGTAATGATTTCTGTTCTTCACTATACATTAGAAAAATCTGAATAAGGCTCAGGAATGGGTATTTTTAAAGAGGTTTACTTTTGTTGACAGGATTGAGATTCACTATCTTCCAAGAATCCTCACTATCTTCCAAGAATTCTCTAAGTGATTTTGTCCAAGTGTTGGTGATAGATATTGTATTTTGAATAGCTAAAAAATGGAAAAAAGTGGGATTAAAGTAAGACCAATGTTCCTATGATTACAGAGTTAAATAAACACCAGGAATGTGTTTTATAGAAATGTGCAAAATGGGGTTATAATAATGACATACTTAAATTTTAAAAAACAATCTCCCGCAGTGCCAAAGTCCCTGTAATTACTTGTGTGAAATTTATTTGTGTGAGGCATCTAATAACTAAGAAGATATAATTATAAATAAATGTATATTTTGAATGCATATTTGACTTTTGAATTTTAAAATGAAAGTTTTCATTTGCTAATATTTAACCTAAAATGCTTTATATATTACTTGTAAGAATACCATATGTAGTTTTGCTTAAATACCCTTTACTAGGGTTACTATATCAACAACCATCACAAATGTGTGTGTCTTCCAATAATGCATACATATTGTTAGAATGCATACCTTCACTCATGGCAGTGCTATTTGTAATAGCTTCAGCTAGACACTATTGAACTGTCCATCAAAACAAAATAGATCAGGCAAAACAAAATCCAAAAATAGTCAAATGAGACTACAATAAACTAAAAAGCTTTTGCAGAGCAAAGGAAACAATCAACAGACTGAAAAGACAACCTATAGAATGGGGGAAATATTTGTAAACTATTTGTCCAACAAGGAACAAGTATCCAGAATGTACAATGAGCTAAAAAAAATCCTCCATAGCAAGAAACCAAATAATCCAAGTCAAAGATGAACAAAGGATCTCAACAAACATTTCTCAAAAGAGGACATACAAATGGCCAACCAAAAGGCTCAACATCACTAACCATCAGGGAAATGCAAATCAAAACCATAATCAGATGCCATTTCACTCTAGTTAGAATGGCTATCATCAGAAGACAAAAAATAACAAATGCTGGCAAAATATGAATCAAAGGAAATTTTTATATACCATTGGTGGTAATATACATTAATACAGCCATTATTGAGATTCAGAAGGATGTAAAAACACAATCCAAGAATAATAAAAGTTATAATAAAGTGATGCAGGAGCTGAAGGGTAAAATAGTTGGTATAAAAAAGAACCTAATGGGTCTGATAGAGCTAAATAACACAGTACAGAAATTTCAAAATGCAATCGCAAGTATTGACAGCAGAATATACCAAGTTGAGGAAACAATCTCAGATCCTGAAGACTGGTAATCTGAAATAAGACAGACATAAAAATAAAGAAAAAGAATAAATAGAAATGAACAAATCTCTTAGGACCATGGGATTATGTAAAAAGCCAAAATCTAGAAGTCACTAGCATCCCTGAAAGGGATGGGGAGAAAGCAAATAACTTGGAAAACATATTTGAGGATATCATCCATGACAACTTCCCCAACCTTGCTAGAGAGGCCAACAGTCGAATTTAAGAAATACAGATAACTCCTGAAAGATTCTACAGAAGAAGACCATCCCCAAGACACACAATCATCAGATTTTCCAAGGTAGAAAAGAAAGAAATAATGTTAAAGGTAGCTAGAGAGAAAGAACAGGTCACCTACAAAGGGAACCCCATCAGGCTAACAGTGGACCTCTCAGGTGAAACCCTACAAGCTAGAAGAGATTGGGGGCTTATATTTAACATTCTTAAAGAAAAAAACAATCAACCAAGAATTTTACATCCAGCCAAACTATGCTTCCTAAGTAAAAGAGAAATAAGATCCATTTCAGATAAGCAAATGTTGAGGAAATTCATTACTACTAGATCTGTCTTACAAGAGATCTTCAAAGGATAACTAAACATAGAAAGGAAAGACCACTACTAGTTAGTACAAATTGAACAATGAGAACACATGGACACAGGAAGGGGAACATCACACACCAGGGACTGTTGTGGGGTGGGGGGAGTGGGGAGGGATAGCATTAGGAGATATACCTAATGCTAAATGACGAGTTAATGGGTGCAGCACACCAACATGGCACATGTATACATATATAACAAACCTGCGTTGTGTACATGTACCCTAAAACTTAAAGTATAATAATAATAAAATTAAAACACACACACACACACACACATAAACACGCAGACTAGGGTCAATGTAAAGCAACCACAAAACAAGCCAACATAATAACCAGCTCACAGCACAATTACAGGATCAAATTCACACATATCAAGACTAACCTTGAATGTAAATGGACTAAATACCCCACTTGAAAGGAACAGAGTGGCAAGTAATCCCAGCACTTTGGGAGTCCAAGGTGGGAGGATCACGAGGTCAGGAGTTCAAGACCAGCCTGGCCAATATGGTGTAACCCTGTCACTACTAGAAATACAAAAATTAGTTGGGCATGGTGGCGCGTGCCTGTAATCCCAGCTACTCAGGAGGCTGAGGCAGGAGAATTGCTTGAACCCAGTAGGTGGAGACTGCAGTGAGCCAAGATTGCACCACTGCACTCCAGCCTCAGCGACTGTGCAAAACTTTGTCTTGGGAAAAAAAGAAAAAAAAACAAGAACCAATCGTATGCCATCTTCAAAAGACCCATTTCACACATAATGACACTCATAAGCTCAAAATATAGGGATAAAGAAAAAAATCTACCAAGCAAATGGAATATAGGAAAAAGCAGGGGTTGCAATCTTAATTTTACACAGAACAGACTTCAACCAAAAAAGATCAAGAAAGACAAAAAATGAATATTACATAATAATAAAGGGTTCAATTCAACAAGAAGACCTAACTATCCTTTATATATATGCACCCAACACAGGAGTACTCAGATTCATAAAGCAAGTTCTTAAAGACTACAAAGAGACATAGACAACCTCACAGTGATAGTGGGTGACTTCAACACTCTGCTGACAGTATTAGACAGATTTTTGAGGCAGAGAATTAACAAAGATATTCAGGACCTAAACCCAATATTGGACTAAATGGGTCAGATAGACCTTGACAGAACTCTCCAACAACAACAACAACAACAAAAACCCAGAGTATACATTCTTCTCATTGCTACATGGCACATACTCTAAAATCAACCACATAATTGGACATTAAAACAATCCTCAACAAATGTAAAAGACCACAGCACAATAAAAACAGAAGTCAAGACTAAGAAAATCACTCAAAACTATGTAACTATATGGAAATTAAACAACCTGCTCCCGAATAACTTTTGAGTAAATAATAAAATTAAGGCAGAAATCAATAAGGTCTTTGAAAATAATGAGAACATAGATACAACAAACCAGAATCTCTGGGACAGAGCTTAAGTAGGGTTAAGAGGAAAATTCATAGAACTAAATGCCCTCATCCAAAAATTAGAAAGATCTCAAATTAACAACCTAACATCACAACTGAAAGAATTAGAGAAGCAAAGAGAAATCAACCCCCAGGCTAGCAGAAGACAAGAAATTACAAATATCACAGCTGAACTAAAGAAAATCAAGACATGAAAAACCATTAAAAAGATCAACAAATCCAGAGGATGATTTTTTAAAAAAGTAATAAAATAGGTCACTAGTTAGAATAATAAAAAAGAAAACAGAGAAGATCCAAATAAATACAATTAGAAATAATGAAGGGACTATTACTACCAACGCAGCAGAAATTAAAAATAACCATCAGAATCTACTATGTACATTCTTATGTACAAAAACTAGACAACCTAGAAAAGAAGGGTAAATTTCTTCACCGGTATACCCTCCCAATACTGAGCCAGGAAGAAACTGATTCCCTGAACAGAGCAATTATGAGCTCAAAAATTCAATCAATAATAAATAGCCTACCAACTAAAAAAGCCCAGTACATGATGGATTCACAGTCAAATTCTACCAGATGTACAAAGAAGAGCTGGTACCATTTCTACAGAAACTATTTAAAAAATTTGAGGAGGAGCAACCCCTCCCAACTCATTCTGGGAGACCAGCATCCTCCTGATACTAAAACCTGTCAGAGATACCAAAAAAAAAAAAAAAAAAAAAAAAAAAAAAAAAAAAAAAAAAAAAAAAATTAAGGCCAATGTCCTCGACAAACATTGATGTAAAAATGCTCAACAAAATACTTATAAACCAAATCCAGCACACGTCAAAAAGCTTATCCACCATAATCAAGTTGGCTCTGTTCCCAGAATGCAAGGTTGGTTAAACATATGCAAATCAATAAATGTAATTCATCACATAAACAGAACTAAAGACAAAAACCACATGATTCTCTCAATAGATGCGGAAAAGTCTTTTGATAAAATTCAATACCACTTCATGTTTAAAACCTTCAGTAAACTATTAATAGGTATCGAAGGAACATACCTCAAAATAGTAAGAGCTATCTATGACAGACCCACAGCCAACATTATACTGAATAGGCAAAATATGAAAGTATTCTCCTTGAAAACCTGCACAAGGTAAGGATGTCTTCTCTCACTACTCCTGTTCAACATAGTATTGGAAGTCCTAGCCACAGCAATCAGGCAAGAGAAAGAAAGAAAGAGCATCCAAGTGTGAAGAGAGGAAGTAAAATTATCTGTCTTCAGATGATATGATTCTATATCTAGAAAACGCCATATTCTCAACCCTAATGCTTCTCCAGCTGATAAACAAATTCAGCAAAGTAGCAGGATACAAAATCAATGTACAAAAATTACTAGCATTTCCATATATCAACAACAGCCAAACCAAGAGTCAAATCTTGCATAAACTCCCATTCGCAATTGCCACAAAAGAATAAAATACCTAGAAATATAACTAACCAGAGAGTTGAAAGATTTCTACAAAGAGAATTACAAAATACTGCTTAAAGAAATGAGAGAAGACACAAACCAATGGAAAAATACCCCATGCTTATGGATAGGGAAAATCAGTATCATTAAAATGGCTATACTGCCCAAAGCAATATACAGATTCAATTTTATCCCTATCAAACTACTAATAACAGTCTTCACAGAACTAGAGAAGACTATTTTAAAATTTATATGGAACCAAAAAAGAACCCAAATAGCCAAGGCAAACCTAAACAAAAAGAACGAAGCTGGAGGCATCACATTACCTGACTTCAAACTATACTATGAGGTGGCAGTAACCAAAACAGCATGCTATAGGTACAAAAACAGGAATATAGACCAGTGGAACAAAATAGAGAGCCTAGAAATATGACCACACATCTACGACTATCTGATCTTCAACAGAGCTGACAAAAACAAGCAAGGGAGAGTCTTTATTCAATAAACGGTGCTGGGATAACTGGCTAGTTATATGCAGTAGTTTGAAGCTAGCCCCTTCCTTATACCATACACAAAAATCAACTCAAATGAACTAAAGGCTAAAATGTAAAACCCAAAACTATAGGAACCCTGGAAGACAACCAAGGCAATATCATCCTAGACACAGGAATGGGCAAACATTTAATGACAAAAACACCAAAAGCAATTGCAACAAAAGCAAAAATTGACAAGTGGGATCTAATTAAACTTATGAGCTTCTGTTCAGCAAAAGAATCTATCAACAGAGTAAACAGACAACCTACAGAATGGGAGTAGGTATTTGGAAATTATGCATCTGACAGAAGTCTAATACCTAGTATCTATTAATATTAAGAATTTAAACAAATTTACAAGAGAAAACAAACAACCCCATTAAAACGTGGGCAAAGGATGTGACAGACATTTCTCAAAAGAAGACATACATATGGGCAAAAAGCATACGAAAAAAGCTCAACATCATTGATCATTAGAGAAATGCAAATAAAAATCACAATGAGATACCATCTCACACCAGTCAGAATAGCTACTAAAAAGTCAAAAAATAACAGACACTGGGGAAGTTGCAGAGAAAAAGGAACACTTACACACTCTTGGTGGGAGTATAAATTAGTTCAACCATTGTTGAAACCAGTATGGCAATTCCTTAAAGAGCTACAAGAAGAACTACCATTTGACCCAGGAATCCCATTACTGGGTATATACCCAGAGGAACATAAAATGTTCTACTATAAAGACACATGCACACAAATATTTATTGCAGCACTATTCACGATACAAAAACAAGGAATCAGCCTAAATTCCCATCAATGACAGATCAGATAATGAAAATGTTGTACATATACACCATAGAATACTATGCAGCTATACAGTGAGTGAGATCATGTCTTTTGCAGGAACATAGATGGAGCTGTAGGCTATTATCCATAACCAACTAATGCAGGAACTGAAAACCAAACACCGCATGTTCTTACTTACAAGTGGGAGCTAAATGATAAGAACACAAAGAAGAAAACATCACACACTAGGGTCTCCTTGAGGGTGGAGGGTGGGAGGAGGGAGAGGAGCAGAAAAGATAACTCTTTGATACTGTGCTTAATACCTGGGTGATGAAATTATATGTACCAAAAAAAAAAAAAAACCGTAACATGTGTTTTCCTATGTAATGAACCTTCACATATACTCCCAAACTTCAAATAGAAGTTAAAAAATAGGTAAAAACATATTTTACAAATTCACATTGTTCATATCTTAATTGATTATTCTTATTTTGTTTATGTGTTGATATATTGATATATTGAATAACCAGATGAGAGGATTTTTAATAAGATTTTTGAATATTCCCTAGCTCTATCTTCACTAGTTCTGACCTAATACAGTGAGTAGGTTCCAATATTTGGGTATTCAGCAACTTCTCTGGGGAAATCTGACATACCTAGTGACTATGTTTCAATAAAAAAATCAAACTTAACAAAAAAATTGTAATGGCTCTTTTATTTGAGTAGATTGTTTGTACTTCTTAACATTTTTCAAACTTATTTTGTTTGCAAGTATTTCCTTACATTAAAAATGTGTATGACTTATATATACATATTAAAATTCTTTTTGCTGTTTATGAAGTAGAAACTTATTAGGAAAGACTATAGAGTACACAGAATCAATAAAAGATTATGAGAATCTTTTGAGCCAGAAAATAGTCTAGAGAGCACAGAGCAATATTAATTAACACTAAAAGGAAATAAAAGTTTAGATGAATGTTTTAATTAATCTAAATGTAAAAATCTGCAAATGTAGAGACAAGATGAAGGGAAAAGCTGTAATATAGCTGAAACTACTAGGAACTATATAATTTGAATTGAGTTTGTTACATTAGAAGACCTGAATTGAATGTTTCATTTACTTTTATTAAAGATTCTTCAAATTACTTCATTTTTTAAATTAATCATGGGTTACAATACAATTTCCTACATACAAGAAATTTTATATCCTATCAAGGGCATGTAAAAATCGTACTGACCCATTTAGTGAAATATCACTTTCTCTAAATAAATCCCATTCCTCCTGACTTTCGGGAAACTTTTAGTTGATAAAACCACTGCTTACAAAATGTAATCTTAATCAATTACATTTCTATATAACTACCCTTGGCACTCCCCACCTGTGAACATATATTGCTGTTAATATGAAAAATTCAGTTCAGATGTTCAAAGCAGAAATCAAGTAACAGCTGCAAAATTCACAAAAAGAATAAATTTTAGTGCAAAGTATCAACGTAGGTATATTTTACTCTAAAGTCTATTAATCAAATCTATAATTTAAAATATAAAGTGATAGCTGCTGTTTATTAAGAACTTGAGTGAATTGTTTCATTTGGCTATCCAAAACAATCATGAAGGAGGGTTAAAGAGGCAGACACTAAAACTTAGACATATTCAGTATGTTGTCCAAGATAAACATTCTGATACAGAGTATAGCTCCGCTACTGTGCCTCACTCAACTGGTATCAACTCCTATTCTCCTGCCAATCAGTATTTTTTCAGGTAACATCTTCCAGAATGAAAACCACCATTGACCTTATAAAAGAGGAGCTAGTCATTATTCTACCTAGCCCAGAGCCAAGAATGCTTGCAAATTTTACCTTGAGACTATAATATAGATTAAATTCACACATGCACACATACACACGTGAAAAAAGCATATATACACAAAATATATAATTTTTTCACAGATATAAGTTATACATTTGAACTATATGGGATTATATGTGAATTTAACCTATGTGTTATACATATTTATATGTATTCATATATATGTATGTGTGTGTGAATTTAATCTGTGTTATAGTCCCAAGAATTTTTCAGATATTAAATAATTTTATGCATACTTTCAACCTCCCACTCTAGGATATAAACAAATAAACAATCTAGAATAATTCCTGACATGTGACTCATTTTTAAAAACTTGTTAATGTTCCTTTAAACTTGTTAGGTTAATGAATTTGTACATAGGACAGAGCAGAAGAGTGAATTAATAAAGAGACTAAACAGAAGACAGAATAAGGTTACAAAAAGATGGAAAATACTATTAACAACTTTAATAGTCACATTAGGGAGAAGATAGTCTAATACCAATCAAATTGCAATTCGAGAAGAGAAGTGAAAATACAAGAACAAAGATATTTGAACAGATAATGCCTGAGTAGACATTGAGAATTTCCTAAAGTTGTTGGAAGAATGAATCTTCAGATATAGAAAATAAAATTCACACACACACACACACGTAGTCAAAATAATCAATGATCAATTTTTTTAAGTTGATGGCTGAAATAAAAACTCTTCAGCAGTTTGCAAACTTTTTTTAAAAGGCCAGGCAGTAAACATCTTGTGAACTACACTTTGTCTTGTCCATACTCCTAAAGCAGTGATTGATAACACATAAATGAGTGCATGTGGCTGTGTCCTGAAAAACTCTATTTACAAAAACAGGCATGTGGGCTATAATTAGCCAACTTCTGGTCTAAAGAAATATTTTAACAAGTAGCATGAACTCTAATTTTTCAACAGCAAAATATGAGAATCTGAATTGTGGAATTTATATAATTAAAAGGCTAAACTGAAGCAACTGGAAAGTAACTGTCAATCTAGAATTGTATTCTCATCCTTTTGGAATTAAGCAAATCCAAATTATTTGCAGAAAAACACAAAGACATTTTACCAGAGCAGAGCTAGCTCACTAAGAAAATTTTTGAAACAGTATTTTGGAAATAATAAATATTATGCCATATAAATTGTTCTGAGATGTAAAGTAAAAATAGATAAAATATTGACTAATATGTTGATAATTCTAAGCAGAGTGTGGCCACCTAATGGTAATAATCATTATTTTTATTTGAAAACTGAGTAAAAGAATCATAGAACTAAAGTGCTGATTGTTAGCAAAACGTAGGACAGAAGATGATTGGTCAAAGTTAGTATTTTCTGGTTTTCTTTTTCTTTAGTAAAATTAATTATTGCAATTAAATTTATTTAAAATGATTAAGGAAAATATTAAGAGAATTATAGTTACTTTAAGACAGCAGAAGAAAAGAAATACAGAACTTAATTAAATAATAATGAAAGGCCGGGCGCAGTGGCTCACGCATATAATCCCAACATTTTGGGAGGCCGTAGCGGGCAGATCATGAGGTCAGGAGATCGAGACCATCCTGGCAAACAGGGTGAAACCCCATCTTTACTGAAAATACAAAAAAAAATTAGCCAGGCGTGGTGGCAGACACCTGTAGTCCCAGCTACTCGGGAGGCCGAGGCAGAAGAATGGCGTGAACCCAGGAGATGGAGCTTGCAGTGAGCCAAGATTGCGCCACTGCACTCCAGCCTGGGTGACAGAGCGAGACTCTGTCTCAAAAAAAAAAAAAAAAAAAAAAAAATTAAAAAGTAGACTTAGATAATTAGTACATAAATGATTCTGATTATATCAAGATAAGTTAGTATTCAAAATAATGATTATTGGGCTAAAATAATCACCCAAATTACAGAGAGAGAAATAAATTGGATAAAAATTTTAATGTATGTTAAAATTGGATACATAATAAAAAGGCATTCTCAAATACAGAAGAGTACCAGATTGTAAATGAAAAAAAAAAAAAAAAGAATGGATATATCTAGAAAATACTACCTAAATTTAGTGTTTTTATCTGAATATTTTATATTTATGTGTAGTGATGAACACCAAATTTAGAATGATGATCAGGTCAGGTGGAGAAAAATGGCAATGTAATCAGGAGGTATTCGTGGGCTTTCAGTTAAATTGCCAATATTTTATTTTCTAACTTTGCAAAAAAGTGACCAACCTCACTTATAACATGAGAGATACAAACTATAAGGGAACACTATTTTTCATCTATTACATTGGCAGAAAACAATCAATTACATGATATATTACTTTGCTTTATGATATATTACTGGATTGAGTAAAATCTGGTATCACTTGTCAATAACCCAATGTCTATTAAAATTTAAAACACATACATTTATATCAGTTATCTATTGCCATAGTAATGCTATTTAACAAACCACCCCAGAGGTCAAGGAATTAAATACAATTAGCTTTGAGCTCTCACAAGACTATAGGTCAGTGACTTAGGGTGGTTCCTTACAAAAGCAAGCAAACTCAAACTTGAAAGCGACTTTCAAGCCTCTGTTTGCATCCCGCCCTCCAACATTGCATGACCCACAAACAATTACAGGGCTGAACTCAGAATCAAGGATGGGGAAACAAACCCTGCCCCATCACTGAGATTAATTAGGAAATCACACATGAAAAGACATGGATACAAGAGATGGTGAAGTATAAGAGAAACCAAAGCAATCAGTGTAATATATTCTTTGATGCAACCATTTTATACACAGATTTTTCCCCTACAGTTATACTTGGACAAAGGTGATATGACCTGGGTATAATAATATTTAGTAAAATATTACTTATATCAATAAATGAAAAATACCTAGTGTGAAAAATATCATTTATGTATCTGTAAGGGATAAATTTAAAAACTACCAAAATTCCATGCAAAGGAATGTTCTGTAGCAACTGAAAATCATTTACATAAAATATTTTTAAGTAAAAAAGCTACATGAAAAATGGGTTATATGATATCAGATTTTAAAATAAATAATATATGCTTAGGTATTTCTTGAACAATAGTTAAATAAGTGCTAAAAATGGGTGATTGCCATTGCAGAGGGGAACAGAATGGCTGAGCAACTAAAGTGTTCATAATCTTATTAAATACAATGTACTTTTCAATCCATTTAAAATTCTGCACCATAGGCATACATTACCTGTTTTACTTATTATGTGGTTTTTCACACAACAACTTATAATTTTGTGTGTGTGTGTGTATCTGTATGCTATAAAGATACGACCTGAGACTGGGTAATCTATAAACAAGAGAGATTTAATTGAATCACAGTTCCACATGGCTGGGGAGCGGGGGAGCTCAGGAAACTTACAATCATGGGGAAAGGTGTGAATGAGAAGCAAGCACCTTCTTCACAAGGCAGCAGGAAAGAGAGAGAGAGAATGTGTGAGGAAGTGCCATACTTTAAAATCATCAGCTCTTGTGAGAAAGCCCTCATGATAATGAACGCATTATGAAGGAAACTGCACCCATGATTTAATCACCTCCCATCAGGACCCTCCCTCAATATGTGGGGATTACAATTCGAGATGAGATTTGGGTGGGGGCACAGAGCCAAACAATATGAGTATCCTACATCAATTAATAGACAGCAACTCTGTAATAATTCATTCCAAGTAGGTAGATCTTTCCAACACATTTCTGATATATCATCATAATCATTGACCTTAATGTCTCAAAATGGAGTCACTCACATCAAGTGGTGCTAAGCCTACAGTGAGGCTGCTCCCCACTCAAAGTGATAAACATATATGGTACAGAATTTTAAACAGATTGAAAGGTATATTGTATTTAGTAAGAGACCCAAAACTAAGAAATAGAAAGTGAAAGGTGGATGAGAGGATGAGATAATGAGATCATGAGAATAGACACATCTACAGAGGATTATAAAACAGCCAAGACCCAGCCTTGAGCAAGACACTTTTGGAGGTCTTCTTCTGACTTTGGTGGATACTGCTTTACTCAGCTCAAGAAAAGCAGTGGCCTTACCCCAGGGTTCAAAGGACTTTTGGACCCAGTTGACTTGTCTGTGGGGGCATTGGTCTCTGAAGCCATCTCTGTTGTTCATTACCCTCCATTAATTAATGCCTGTGAGCTGAGTATTAATTACATGATTTATGATGTGTGAATGCCTCACAAGCAAAAGACGAATTTGAGCAAATATAATTGGCTATTGAGTCTTTGTGAAACCTAGGAGTTACTAGGAGTTGGCACATCTGTACAGCAGGAACTAAATTAACATAATAATTTTCCACTCTTTAAATTATTTTCATCTGAATTAAGATTAAACTGGACTATGTAGAATAGATGGCTTGAAATATGTAAATTTCACGTAATTCATATGAATTGCCAAAAGTTGTGTGTGTCTATACTTGAATTAACGAATATGGTTTGTACATCTTTTCAATTCTTATTTTGGTCATTTTTTCTTCATTTAATTTTACTAATAAGATGACAACTCTTCTTTGAAGAAAGAAACAATGTTTTATATTTTGTTCTCTGGATAGTTGCTTAGAGAGAGAAGCCATATAACACAGTAGAAATGCAACAAGATTCCGAATTAAAGAGAACTGCCACAAATTGTCAGGAGGTAGAGCCATTTGATCTTGGGCCAATTGTTTAATTTTTTTTCTGAGCATCAGTCCCATTTTAAGGGGGAAAAAGGAGAGAAATATTGTCTATCAACCAGTGTTAGTTTGAATGTTTCTCTTCCTTATTTGTATTCTACCCTATAAGTTGTTGGTTGTTAATTGTTGTGATATTTTATTGTTTGACATTAGTAAATATATTCAGTATTTATTAGACTCTTCTCCATAATGACAACTTTTTTCATGGTTAAAACAAAAATGATCATGGGAAAGGCAATATATTTTTAAATCCCCTAATGGTTTGGACAATTTATATGAAATATTTTCTATTTTAATGTACAAACAATAAAATTTAATATAAACAAATCACACTGGCTGTATTTTAGGCTGGTCTCTTGCTGTTTGTAAGACAGATGGCAACATTTCTAAAGTTATAAATATAAATTATAGTGTGTATGCCATTGGGTATTCAAATGCATAATTTCAAATATATTTGACTACTTATTTTTCATAAATATGTAAATATTTTGTTTATCTTTGGGGACCAAATCGATGTATTACATCCAAATAATAATCCAAAGGGAATAAATATCTCTTGAACTTGGTTCCAAAATTTATAATGAGTATACTTTGCCAAAGTAAATGACTTTCAGGATCTGACTTTTTAAAGTGAATAGCATATTGCAAAGAGAAACTGTTCTAACTGATATTAGAAGCTAACAATATTCTGTATTGGCTTTACAATGGGAAAATAGAAAATAACAAATTTGAAGATAATGGGCAAGAGACAAAATGGAAAGAAAAACTAATAAAAACTTATACAAACAAATCTCATTGGTCAGTTTTTTCTTTAATGGTTTAATTGCTTTTTTAAAAAGCATTTTAGTTAAAACCGCAAAATTGACATTTTCAGCATTACCTAATTTATCTAGAAGGAGAGCTTATGTGTAGATAAAATCAAATATTCTATTACAGGTTAATAGCTTACTTTCTCTGCATGTATATGTGTCCTTATAGATCAATTATATTATAGTATTTCTGAGTTCAACAAACGTTGTCCTTTAGTGAACTTTATCTAGTGTCATGTATACAATGTTCTCACATTCCTACCCAGATGACAATAAATGTTATTAGATCTTAATGAAAATCAAAATTTCCTACATTCAGTAATTAGCTAGTAAAACTAATTATTTAAGGACCTACAAAGCTAGTGTTAAAGGTGATTAAGCCAAGTTAATGATTATAAAAATAATTATACATACACAATGAACTTCAGAATTCTAATTGGACTGTGTATCCCAGTTAATTAGATAATTAGCACACCAAGATTGTTGAAAAACTTTGAGCAGTTGGGAAAGTGCATTCTTTAGAAATCTTACATTTACATGTGCTCTTTAAAATGATTTGATATCACAAATTTTCCAAAGTTAAAAAGCAACCAAATACTTTTCATTATTCACAATAATTAGTAGATATCCAATTAATGTTATTGTTATGAATTTCTTTCCATTCTAAGCAAAATTTCATCAAAATTGCAGTAAACTCCAAAAATACAAACTAAGATTAGATGAATTTGTTGCTTGGTTGCCTCCAGTTGAATAAATTCTGGAAGGTTATACTGTATTCTGCTAAGTATTCCAGGTATAAATTAGATCATCTATCCTGAATAATTACATTATAATATCTTACAGAAAATTGTTTTTAGCTTGGTCAATTTTTGGCAGTTTTGACAACTCTTTCTGTTTCAAGTGATTGGAGCATTGTCTTATATATAAAATTATTTTAATGTTGCTATTTTAAAAGTCTGAAAAATATATACCTCATCAACTCACCATTATTTAGATCTGTTGAAGCCCAGTGTGAAATAACCGAGGATGGTGAACTGGGACTGGCATAATTAGCTTCACACACACACACACACACACACACACACACACACACATATATACTTGTTGGCAATGACTTACACACATACATAAATAATAATAATAATTAGAAATAAATTCTCAACTTCTATAAGAATTATGTTTGATATTATAATTATTTGTTCAGAAATGTTCTCATCCAATGAACAGATTGTTCTAAAGAGTAGACCTGACATGTTTCATATTCACAATATTTTTCTGTAATGCTTTGCTCTTAGAAGAATCCCAATAAATATTTGTTGAATATTTGGTTATGGTTTAGAAGAAATTAAAAATTTTTTTCCAATTAGACTTTCGTAAGGTTTTGATTTAAAAGTTATTCACAATTTGTAAATTTAAAAAGGACTGATCATTTTGGTAAATACTTATTTTCAAATTTTCATATCCAGGAGGTGATTATATATAACAGGAAACATATTTAAAATTTATCATTAAAGTACAGATATATTGAAATTCCTTCTTTGATTGGAGTTGTTATTAATTAGTTATCTATGTCTTTGGGAAGGACAAACACAGAAACCTCTATTGATTAGGTTACCAGTATAAATTCAAACTTTGCCCAACAACCAGAATTCTTAGAATAAAGAGAATTCAAGTTCACTGCCAACCAGTGGCACAATCAACATATGGTCTTCCTAAGTTCAATCAGAAAAACAGAGTCATTGTAGGCATGAAAAGAAGGTGGATATAGGTTCAGAATTAGGGCATCCATGGATGCAGTGGAGACTAGTGGAGTGAAGTTTGAAACACTGCGGTGGGCTAGTTAGAGCAGTGGAGAACTAGAACAGAGAGAAATGAATCTTGAACAAAATGAGCCAAAGCTTTTTGAAGTAAGTTTGACGAGGAGTCTGCAAAGTCTCTCCGAAGTGGAAAGTGGTTGCAAGGTGGAAAATCAAAACTAGTGGGGAGGTCCTAATGCCATTGTCTCTGCACATCACCAGCTCCAAAGAGTAATGCCTTTTGCCTCCTTTCCACCTTCCAAGTTGATGACAGTTTCTGTCCTTGCAAATTCTAACCCTGAGTCATATATAAAAGGACATTTGGAAATAGTTTCTTATGTTGAAAGGAAATTGCACTGGTGCTTCATTAATAACAGACAAATCTGAAATAAGCCCAAAAATACATGAACATAAAAATATATGTATCGGAAATTATTAGTCAAGATAAATAGATGCTTACTGACTGTGTGTGATTGTTGACTTCGTGTGATTATAATCATAGAACTGTTCAAGGAATTCGGTGATTATAAATTAAAACGAGGAGCTGTGACTTTAAAAGAGACCATTTTTCTTATTTGCATGACTGTCTTAATGAACTTTTCCATTCAAATATATGATGTTGAATGTGTTAGACAGATACAAAATAGAACATTTTTCAATAGGGGGAAAGTTCATACGCCAAAATGATATAATTCCAAATACAATTGCTTGGAATATGGGGAAAATCCTAGATTGAGAGGAAGAACTAGATAGGCTGTCAAGTGCAGATGGGCTAGGGTTTCCCTGGAGTTACTAGGAGTCTAAGACACCACATCCAGAGAGTTAAAGTAAATTCAAACCCATAAGGCTCAGCAACATTTGGTGTTCAACTGGTCTGGTCCTAGAGATTTGTGTGTGCTGAGGTTTGCAGGAGACGATTTGAGTTGTGCTAGTTTTTGATCCCAGATACATAAAGCTTTTAGTCCTAGAAAGATATTTTGGGCTTTTGGGTTGATATAAAAAAAGAATGGTAAAATAAATAAATCAGTTCAGATGTTGTGCGGTTAAGAACTTCTTAAATCCAGGGGAAAAATATCATTCCAAATGAAAAAAAAAAAAAAAAAAAAAAAAAACAACAACCTTTAAAGGAGAATGAACAAGTGCATTGAGAGTAACAAAAGAAAAGTAAATGTAACTCCTGTATTGAAACCCAGACTGCCCAATTCATACCTTGCTCATGAGACCCAGTGTAATGGCTGCACAGACTCATCTAAGAGCAGTCACTTAATGTGAATAAATAAGAAGAGCTAAGGCTTCTTCCTCTGCCCCAGTTTTTCAAGCTGAAGACTTGACTATTCATGAAACCCGACATGAGAGTAACAGGTGTCCCTACTCCCAGTGTGAGGTGAGATTTTCCATAATATATCTTGTCGTGTTGGGTCTACAAAAGGATGCTTGTCTTTAATTCACATGGTATTGGGACAGCCAGAGAAAACACAACAAAGCGTCTAAATCAATATTTCCATATCTGAGGAGAAAGAGAGAGAGAGAGAAAGAAGCCATCCTACTATGTCAGTGTAGAAAAGGTATAGAACATTTTCTTAATTAAAAAATTATAGTCCAAATGTAAGATTCAGTCAAAAGTATATTAGTTTTCAGAGGTATTAATATTTTCAAATGTATTAATCTTAGAATTCTACACTGAAGCAGATTACAAACATTTTTTCTGACTCATGATTACCCCACAAATATTTGCTGAAAAAAATAAAAGACTGGCTGGGCACAGTTTCTCACGCCTGTAATCCCAGCACTTTGGGAGGCCGAGGCGGGTGGATCACAAGGTCAGGAGTTCAAGACCAGCCTGGCCAACATGGTGAAACCCCGTCTCTAAGAAAAATATAAAAATTAGCTGGGCGTGGTGGCACATGCCTGTAATCCCAGCTACGCAGGAGGCTGAGGCAGGAGAATTGCTTAAACCAGGACCCAGGAGGTGGAGGTTGCAGTGAGCCAAGATTGCACCACTGCACTCCGGCCTTGGCTACAGAGCAAGACTCCCTCTTGGAAAAAAAAAAAAAAAAAAAAAAGACTATGGTTAGGGAAAAAAAAAGGTGTTATTCAGAAAAGTGTCAGGGACATAGTTTTAAAGACAACTATAGTTAAGAAACTGATTAAAAAATGGGAATACGTATGAGAAATAATTTTAGTGTGTATTTTTCTGTTTAGATATAATATACTTAACTTTATATGAATACGTTACTTTTTTAGAGTGAACTTGATTTTGTAATATCATTTTTGAAAACGTCTATATCAACTTCTATACAACCAGTTTTGTAACCAAAACATCAGAGATTTGGTGTTGGTGCTTTTGCTTGCCGCAAAGAAAGCCAATCTCTGAGATGATGAGTATCGTCAGGAAAGACGGCTTTATTCAGGTGCTGTAGTCAGTGAGAACAGATTAGTCTCAAATCTGTCTCCCCTACCTACTAAAATTGAAGGTTTATATAGTGGGCGAGGAATGTAAAACAGGAATTAGGAGGAGTAAGGAAGCAATCATGATACATGAGAAGGTCTGATGTCTCATTTTCTGCAGGCAGTGATCTGTTGAGTTTCAGTCCCTTGTTTCATGGTCAATTTCCTGAGGGAGAAACTCAGGTAAAGCAAATGTAAATTTCAAGTTTTAAAACCAGGAGGGTCAATTTCCATGTGTATTCAAAAACTCATTAATTTCTATGAAACAATTGGGCCAGTTTCTATTGGCCAATAAATAAATATTTCAAAAATTACATAATTTTAATGTGTTTTTACTATCTCCTTTTTGATGGTAGATTACATATTTATCCAGCCTATAAATTTTCTGCTTAGCATATTTTTAACAGCTCGTTATTGCTGATATTTATATGAGAATCTCATGGATAGATCTGGATTCCTAAGGGTGGATTCTTTATTTGGACATTTTCTATTGTCTTTGAACAGGGATGAAGTTATACATGTCTTCAAGAAGTTGCTTCTACAGTTTGGAATGTCTTGCTAATGGAAACTACTGAAATATTTACTGGCCACAATTATATTACTTCAAACATGGCATGGAGTTTGTTACAGGATTTGTTTCAAACATTTATTGTCTTTATTTACCTTGGTGAGGTGTGGTGGAAGCTGGACAATCCCCTTGAAACTCCACCTTCTGCTCACTGAGATGCAAATCTGAACAAGCAACTCATTGTCACATACCCTTGAGAAACTCTGGTTATCTAAGGATGCCCTTATTATTCTAATTCTATTCACCTATTGTCTTTATGAGTGATGGTCTAGACTACTATTGTGACTAAAAGTAAACAGAAATAATACTTGATCATCAAGAAACTTGCTATAGCAAATATTTTTGCTTGGAGCTTATTTTATTTATATTTTTTCTTATACTATTAAAAATAACATGTATAGATTAATATTTAATAATCCCTAACCTTGCAAATTAAAATAGTTTGCTCCTGCTATAAGGCATTTTTATATTCAGCAAATATATGAGGGATATCTATGAGTCAGAAAATGTTTAGATACGTACTGGTGACACAGAAGTAAACACAACAGACAAAAATCTTCACCCTGAGGAGTTTAAGTTTCAGTAAAAATTTTCATTTAATTTCACTATAGAATAGATCAGAGAAATGTAAATAGGAAATCCCAATACCCAGTTAACCTTCTTTTAACCATAACATCAATGTTGCTGGACTAGGCCCTCTGAGAATAGTTGTGCTCAATCCACAGGCTCCTGCCAAGTAACAGGAATGATATTGATCATTAATTTATTCCAGAACTATCTAAAATCTGCCCACAGTTTTCAAAGTCTATTTTATTACGTATATGTAAAACATAGAAAATCTAATAAAAGACATTTTGTCTAATAAAAGACATATGTAAAACATAGAAAATCTAATAAAAGACAAAATGAATGTTTTTCAATATTTGCTTCACTTAAAAATAAAATATTATAGATAAACTTCAATCTCCTGTGGCTTTCTTAATCCCATTGCTATGCCCCTTGACAGATTTAACACTCTGTAATCACTAGGCAATATCGCTCTCCTGAATTATTTTATAAGTTTAATATATAAAGCCTTCTTAACAAAGTCATTTGTCTACTCTGTATGTATGCACATACACAAACACAGACCTACATGTACACGTACATGTAAAATGTATCCATGCTGATACATATAACTATCATTCATTCATTTAATTCATTTACATGCATATATCACAATATATATCTAATATCTTATTTTATAAACAGTTTAGGTGATTTACACATGTTCTCAATTACAGTAATCTTCAGATACATATTCTTAAATATAACACCTTGAGTGAATGTGTTAAATATTTTCACAGGGCATTTTGCTGGTAGGTTTGTTCTTTTATGGTATTCACATAAGTATGATATAATTTATCACAATTTGCCACCAATTTTTTTCTTTTTTAACAACTAGCATACAAGTATATTTCATTTTCCCATATCCTTACGAATAAATAAACATTAAAAATTTGCCATATTTATGAAATAGAACATCTTAGTGTTGAATATTATTACCCTGATTACCAGTGAGGTTGAACATCTTTTGGTAACTTTATTGAATATTTAGTTTTCTTCAGTTCTCAATTGTCTGTCATATTTGTTACCTAATATACTATTATCTTACTTTTCTTTTGAAATTTATTTATTAGAGTTCTTTATATACTGCAGAAAAAAAAATTACAACGTTCACTTAATCATAGAGGAATCATTAGGGAAATCTTATCAGATGCATTAATACACACTAATTTCTTGGTTACCACTGTTGAGAATTGTTGTCTTTGGTTCACTTTTTTCATCAATTGAATCAATAGTTTTTTTTTTATTATACTTTAAGTTTTAGTGTACATGTGCGCAACGTGCAGCATAGTTACATACGTATACATGTGCCATGTTGGTGTGCTGCACCCAGTAATTCGTCATTTAACATTAGGTATATCTCCAAATGCTATCCCTCCCCCCTCCCCCCACCCCACAACAGGCCCCAGTGTGTGATGTTCCCCTTCCTGTGTCCCTGTGTTCTCATTATTCCATTCCCACCTATGAATGAGAACGTGTGGTGTTTGGTTTTTTGTCCTTGCAATAGTTTGCTCAGAATGATGGTTTCCAGCTTCATCCATGTCCCTACAAAGGACATGAACTCATCGTTTTTTATGGCTGCATAGTATTCCATGGTGTATATGTGCCACATTTTCTCAATCTAGTCTATCACTGATGGACATTTGGGTTGGTTCCAAGTCTTTGCTATTGTGAATAGTGCCACAATAAACATACGTGTGCATGTGTCTTTACAGCAGCATGATTTATAATCCTTTGGGTATATATCCAGTAATGGGATTGCTGAGTCAAATGGTATTTCTAGTTCTAGATCCCTGAGGAATTGCCACACTGCCTTCCACAATGGTTGAACTAGTTTACAATCCCACCAACAGTGTAAAAGTGTTCCTATTTCTCCACATCCTCTCCAGCGCCTGTTGTTTCCTGACTTTTTAATGATCACCATTCTAACTGGTGTGAGATGGTATCTCATTGTGGTTTTGATTTGCATTTCTCTGATGGCCAGTGATGATGAGCATTTTTTCATGTGTCTGTTGGCTGCATAAATGCATATATATATATATATGTTATATACATACAGAGCCATTAAAATCCCTGCACAGTTCTTTAAATCAAGTGGGTTCTAATGTCATGACACTTTCTGTACTAGATCCAGCCCTAAAGAGATCACTCACTCTGTTTTCTCCCAGATAAGGATGATTAGAATAAGACTCACCAAAATCCCATACTTTCATGTTAATCATTGTAACCGATGAAACAAAATCAACTGGGGTTGATTTTCTATATCTATATCTATATATCTTTATTGATATCCATATCTATATTTATTTCTATATCTCCTAAAATGACTAAGTGATGCTGTAAATTCATAATAATAAGAAATTCTTATGGATAAAAGAGTATAACAAATAAATAGACTGCTTTATATGACATGCTAGTCTTGAAATTCAGTTATTTCTGATATTATGTATCTCATATGGTTGTGAATATTATAATAATTGCATGGAAAATTTCACATTAGCATTTTAATAATAACTGTCATTATCTAATAATGGTCAGTGTCAACACACCTGACCTTCTGTCTTTATAACAGTTAAAAAGGTAAACTGAATCACTATTAAACTTTTAGAGCTTTATTTGAGCAACCAGTGATTCATAAATTATGCAGCTTCAAAACAGAGGTGGATCAGGAGCTTGGAAAAAGAAGCCTAATTAATGGACAGCGTTTTATGGTGCAAATGTGGAAGTAAAACACAGAATGTATTTGACTGGTTGCAGTTATACTGTTGCCTTATGTGGTCTACCCCACTGGAAAGTTCCTAGTTATAAAATTATAAGTTTGTTGGCTGCTTTTGATTGGATAAGTTTAAGTTATTATTATTATTATTATAATACTTTAAGTTCTAGGGTACATGTGCACAACGTGAAGGTTTGTTACATATGTCTTCCACAGTGGTTGAACTAGTTTACAGTTCCACCAACAGTGTAAACGTGTTCCTATTTCTCCCCATCCTCACCAGAACCTGTTGTTTCCTGACTTTTTAATGATCACCATTCTAACTGGTGTGAGATGGTATCTCATTGTGGTTTTGATTTGCATTTCTCTGATGGCCAGTGTTGATGAGCATTTTTTCATGTGTCTGTTGGCTGCATAAATGTCTTCTTTTGAGAAGTGTCTGTTCATATCCTTCGCCCACTTTTTGATGGGATTGTTTGTTTTTTTCTTGTAAATTTGTTTGAGTTCTTTGTAGATATTAGCCCTTTATCAGATGAGTAGATTGCAAAAATTTTCTCCCATTCTGTAGGTTGCCTTTTCACTCTGATGGTAGTTTCTTTTGCTGTGCAGAAGCTCTTTAGTTTAATTAGATCCCATTTGTCAATTTTGGCTTTTGTTGCCATTGCTTTTGGTGTTTCAGACATGAAGTCCTTGCCCATGCCTATGTCCTGAATGGTATTGCCTAGGTTTTCTTCTAGGGTTTTTATGGTTTTAGATCTAACCTTTAAGTCTTTAATCCATCTTGAATTAATTTTTATAAAAGGTGTAAGGAAGGGATCCAGTTTCAGCTTTCTACATATGGCTAGCCTGTTTTCCCAGCACCATTTATTAAATAGGGAATCTTTTCCCTATTTCTTGTTTTTGTTAGGTTTTTCAAAGATCAGATGGTTGTACATGTGTGGTATTATTTCTGAGGGCTCTGTTCTGTTCCATTGGTCTATATCTCTGTTTTAGTACTGGTATCATGCTGTTTTGGTTACTGTAGCCTTGTAGTATAGTTTGAAGTCAGTTAGCATGATGCCTCCAGCTTTGTTCTTTTGGCTTAGGATTGTCTTGGCAATTTTGGTTTCATATGAACTTTAAAGTAGTTTTTTCCAATTCTGTGAAGAAAGTCATTGGTAGCTTCGTGGGGATGGCATTGAATCTGTAAATTACCTTGGGCAGTATGGCCATTTTCATGATATTGATTCTTCCTGTTCATGAGCATGGAATGTTCTTCCATTTGTTTGTATCCTCTTTTATTTCGTTGAGCAGTGGTTTGTAGTTCTCCTTGAAGAGGCCCTTCACATCCCTTGTAAGTTGGATTCCTAGGTATTTTATTCTCTTTGAAGCGATTGTGAATGGGAATTCACTCATGATTTGGTTCTCTGTTTGTCTATTATTTGTGTATAAGAATGCTTGTGATTTTTGCACATTGATTTTGTATCCTGAGACTTTCCTGAAGCTACTTATCAGCTTAAGGAGATTTTGGGCTGAGATGATGGGGTTTTCTAAATATACAATCAAGTCATCTGCAAACAGGGACAATTTGACTTCCTCTTTTCCTAATTAAATACCCTTTATTTCCTTCTCCTGCCTGATTGCCCTGGCCAGAACTTCCAACCCTATATTAAATAGGAGTGGTGAGAGAGGGCATCCCTGTCTTGTGCCAGTTTTCAAAGGGAATGCTTGCAGTTTTTGCCCATTCAGTATGATATTGGCTGTGGGTTTGTCATAAATAGCTCTTATTATTTTGAGATATGTCTCATCAATACCTAATTTATTGAGAGGTTTTTAGCATGAATGGCTGTTGAATTTTGTTGAAGCCCTTTTCTGCATCTATTGAGATAATCAGAATCTCTGGGACACATTTAAAGCAGTGTGTAGAGGGAAATTTATAGCACTAAATGCCCACAAGAGAAAGCAGGAAAGATCTAAACTTGACACCCTAACATCACAATTAAAAGAACTAGAGAAGCAAGAGCAAACACATTCAAAAGCTAGCAGAAGGCAAGAAATAACTAAGATCAGAGAAGAACTGAAGGAGATAGAGACACAAACAACCCTTCAAAAAATCAGTGAATCCAGGAGCTGGTTTTTCTAAAATATCAACAAAATTGATAGACCACTAGCAAGACTAATAAAGAAGAAAAGAGAGAAGAATCAAATAGATGCAATAAAAAATATTAAAGGGGATATCACCATCGGTCCCACAGAAATACAAACTACCATCAGAGAATACTATGAACACCTCTACGCAAATAAACTAGAAAATCTAGAAGAAATGGATAAATTCCTGGACCCATATACACTCTCCCAAGACTAAATCAGGAAGAAGTTGAATCTCTGAATAGACCAATAACAGGCTCTGAAATGGAGCCAATAATTAATAGCCTACCAACCAAAAAAAGTCCAGGACCAGATGGATTCACAGCTGAATTCTACCAGAGGTACAAGGAGGAGCTGGTACCATTCCTTCTGAAACTATTCCAATCAATAGAAAAAGAGGGCATCCTCCCTAACTCATTTTATGAGACCAGCATCATCCTGATACCAAAGCCTGGAAGAGACACAACAAAAAAAGAGAATTTTAGACCAATATCCCTGATGAACATCGATGCAAAAATCCCCAATAAAATACTGGCCAACTGAATCCAGCAGCACATCAAAAAGCTTATCCACCTGATCAAGTGGGCTTCATCCCTGGAATGCAAGGCTGAATGAGTTTAAGTTTTGCTTTTCTTTGATATAAACATTTATTTAAAGAAACTCAAGTTAAGTTTCTCTTTTGTTTTCAAACCAAGCCAAAGTTAATGTCACTTATGGGGCCTAGCTAGGTTTGTCTGCTGAGTGATTCTTTAGACTTGGTCTCTGTTTTCATTTACTTTCACATTAATAATCCAGGGTTTATATATCATCTGAACAGGAGCCATACTGATATTGTCTCAATGCACCAATATATTTGTGCCTCTAAACTTCTATTCTGGCTACCTCTCCCCTTTCCAGGCTCACCAGGCTGCTTGTATAAATTATTGTGTACACTACATTTACATGTCTGTGGTCTTGCCTATGTTTTTTTTTTCTCAGTATGACAATTTTTTTCACATACACCTTATTTAATTTTCAAGGTTCAGCTCAAATCCAGAAATTTCTTCTTGAGGACTCTACAAAAATAATAAATTTGAATATCATCTTAATTCTCTGCAGTGTTGCTTTGTTCTGCTTTTATACTTCTTAGATAGAAAGGTATGCACTTGTAGATCCACTGCCTCTATGTATTCTAATGTGAATAACACCATTAACTCACTATTGTCGTCACAGAACATAATATATAATGCCTTGGCAATAATAGTTGTGCAGCAAATATTTGCCTATTAAATGGAATTGAATATAACCCCGACAAAAACATAGAATAAAAGAAAATATGTGGGATCAGGTATACACTCATTCAACACTTATTTGTAGATAAGTTGATGCATATTTTATTTGGTTTAGAAGAGTAAATTAGTCAATATTATCAGTAATTGTAGTTATTAGAAATTCTATATTGGGCAAATATATAAATTTATATAAGATAAACAATAGCTATATACAGTTTCATAATCTGCACATATACAGATATTTTGAAATATGAGATTATACATCATACTACTTCCTCATATAATTTATTTCATGGAATACTTCTGCCTTGAATAATAATAAAGTATATTTGGAAAATGTTATTAAATTAAATTTGGTATAATTAAAATCGTGATAAGTGGCTATAACAAATATAAAAATAAAAACAAATCACTAGAAGTGGCATTATATTAATTCAAAATAATGAGCAAGTTGAAATTGTTTAAAAATGCAAACTGCATTATTATGAAGCTTATTACTTAATACAATCAACTCATTATCAAATATATCAAATATATTTTCCCTTTAGATAAAAGGCACAAACAAATGGATTAATCTAAAAAAGAGATATTTGTTTGGAATCTTCATTGAATCAAACATATTTTTAAAAATAATGAAAAGTTTTTAAATTCCACATGACTTTTTCTCTCCAGTAGCTCACAAATCACTGAGAGTTCTAATGTAATATACATGCAAGCAGCCATCCTGGCAGAGTATTATCAGTGCTTGACCATCAAGCTTAGCGCTCAGAAAAGATGCAACCAACCTTCTCATTTTGCTTTTGTCCAGGGTAAGCCTACCGGTCATCTGGCCAAAGCACTGCTGCCAAAATCATCATCCAAAGACCAGCAGCACTGGCATCCTGTGGGGGATTTGTAAAAGGCTCAACATCTTGGGGCTTCTACAGACCTCCAGAACAAGAATCTGGACTTTAGTAAGATTCTCAGGTGATTTGTGTGGGCCTGAAAGTTCAAGAATGACTTGTTACACAGCAACAAGTTACCTACATTACTTTTAATTTATAACCCAGTTATTTAACCCTGATATCCAACTTTCCCTTGCAAAACCTTCTACTGACTGATAGTACAGCTTTTCTATACCAATTTTTTTTTCCTGTTTGTTACCACTTAGATCATTTTCTTCATCATTTCTTAGCCTTACTGTTGGCTGCTTCTTGAGAATACTACTTTCCTTCCAGTTCTCTAACTCTTTGCTGGTTATTTTCACACACCAACCGAATGGCCTTTCTGCTCAGCAATGGGCAGCACAATTTAGTGCTTGCCTTGTACATTGTTACCACCTCCAAAGTTACTATTCTGCTCTCTCAACATATTCTTTCTTCTTGGAAACCCATAACATAAAACAAAATCAGACCCTGACATTAGAGAACTAGTTCATGCAGGCCAATTGCCTACAAAGCCAATTGGCTGCTATAGTTCAGAGAGCAGAATAGCTTAAGGGCATCTGTCAAATTAATTTTACTTTATTTAAAACCTGCATTGGAACCTCCACTTCTGCTGCTTCTAAGGTCCAACTGAAATGGTATCCATTCCAAGCTCTGATCTGCTGGCTAAAGCCAGAGCAGTAGCAAAAATTCTACTAATTCTTCCAAGAAGAAAAACACTTGCTTATCCAAACATATAAGTCAAAACAAAACAAAACAAAACAAACATATAAGTCAAGCTAGAAGGGCTTGCTTCATTATTGGTTACTAATTATTAGTATGCCAGGATTCATACTAAATGGACTTTCTTTTTCATATTTTGATGAACAGTCACATTTGAAAAATTTCCATGTCATAAGGTCAGTAATATTGAGCATAGCATATAATTTTCCAAGAGAGACATATTAAAAATACTTCTCTGTAGATTTGGATGTATCTTATAGGAGGTTTGGCCCCTCACTGAGAATTATTACGTTATTTTATTATAGAGATTCTTGAAAGTATTAGTCTGTTCTCACACTGCTATAAAGAAATAGCTGAGACTGGGTAATTTATAAAGAAAAGAGGTTTAATTGGTTCACAGATCTGCAGGCTGTACAGGAAGCATGGCTGGGGAGGACTCAGGAAACTTACAATCATGGTGGAAGGCAAAGGAGAAGCAGGTGCGTCTTACATAGCTGGAGCAGGAGGGTCCGGTGGGAAGTGCCACACACTTTTAAACAATCAGATCTTGTGAGAACTCTATCATAAGAAAAGCACCAAAGAGGGAAATCTGCCCCCTTGATCCAGTCACTTCCCACCAGGCCCCACTTCCAACATTGGGGATTACAATTTAACATGAGATTTGGGCAGGGACACTAATCCAAAACATATCAAGAATGTTGTGTGATAAAGAATATTGGATGAAGCTCAGTGAAAGTGGACATGGATTTTTTTTTTTTAAAAAATTGATTTTAGTCTACTTTAATTTTCTAGTTCAGGTTGTGCTTAATCATACAGATAATATTGTAGTATTTCTTTTTAACATAATCCCTACTGGTCTCTCTTTGCCTTGAAGATAATATTACTCAGCATAGAATAAAGATTCTTTTAATTTTTGCACTTTTGGAAAATGTTGTGGATCCATTTTAATTAATATGCTCATTTTTTGCATCCCTAATTTTAGAGAATATCATCTTTAACTTCCTAATGGGGCAAAGGCTTAAGATATTGGCATGCCCATTTACTGTAGACAGATCGTAGACAGAATGTAGACATTCTTAGAAATATATGCTCAATTTCAAATTGCACTTATGCTGCTCTTCTTTCAGTTCTGTGATCTATTGTATTAATTGACATTGCTTATGAACCATCATAATCATATAAATAATATTCTATGGATGCATGATCTATCTATAGTATCCAAAAGGACATATTTGAAGGCAGGTGCAATGTCAGGTCTTTAAACATAGCCCCCATATGTAGAAATCTAATGAGTTTGTCACTGGTTAGATGCATTGGGTTTATTTGGATTTATAACTCAACTTGATTAAGTATATACAGTCAATGAAATCTAAAGTATTTCTTTTGATATCTCCAGTTCAGTTGATAAATAGTATGCATTGATTTCACATGCCAGGTTGGCAACTAGTGGAATTTAATCAATGGTCCACTTCATATTCCTTCCAAATAAATTATAAGACAAGAACAGAATACTAATACAGTTTTGATATAAAATAAAAAGATGTAGATCATTGTCATCCTCATATCAATAAAATTAGATCTGTGGGCCAGGTACACTGGTGATGAAAATTGTGCATTAGCTTAATTCAAAATAGTATAGAGCTTGCCTGGGGCTGGGTTAAATTCTTTTCCAAGTTAAAATAATGCCTACTGTTCCTTATGTAATATGAGAATATGTGACCTATATGGAAATAGTTCACTGTGAATTGATATATTTCATATGGTTACTTTATGGACCTAAGATGCTAAAGGTGTTAATTTATGGTGGCACAAATCAACCATTTTTTGCCATTATTAAATAACTAAAATTAATTGATTGTATGATAAGAGATCAAGAACATATATCACCCAAAGACTTATTGTGGAACTATTCCTGTAAGTTGAATTAAAAATTGCATGTGACAAAGTTTTTATGTATGTATGTATTTATTTATTTATTTATTAGAGATGAGGTCTCACTCTATTGCCCATGCTGAAGTGTAGTGGTGCGATCATAACTCACTGCAGCCTCAACTCCAGGGCACCAACAATCCTCCTGCCTCAGCCTCCCAAGTAGCTAGGATTACAGCCTGAGCCACCATTCCTGATAACAACTTGAATTTAAGAAAGAGAGAAAGAGAGAGAGAGAGTTACAATTAGGTAATTTTTCTTCCACATATATACCTTACTTGGTAGTTTTTCAAATTATTGGTGCAATATTGGAAAGTACTTTTGATGCCCTTAAAAAAGCTGGAATATTTACCCAACTATAATGTATGGTGGTACAGGCATCAGATCTTAAATCTTGTTAGGACCTATGGTTCGTATATTCTGAAGACTCACACTACCAGTAGTAAAGCAGGATTGTCTAAATCTCCTTAGAACCTGACTCCTGCCATACAGTTTAGACATAAATATAGATTCTGTAGTACAGTGACCATAAATACACCTTCTCTTCCCAGACTTAATTCTATCACTCAATACCAAATTTATGGCTATTGACCTATATATCAGTCATAATTGTGTTAAGTGCTTTTGTTTTAGTCTCCATAGTTACATAGTTTAGATCAAAGAGTTACAGCAAAATGCTTTTTAAGTCCTTAGAAAATTTCTATTGTTAGCATGTTGACTCTGGTCTAAAATATTCATTATAGTCTATCCTCTTAGATAGGAAGTCGATTGGGATCCTCATTAAATAGACTTACCAGGGCTTTAAGATTGCATTCAAAGTGTTATATCAGAGGAACAATTGCCTCCTGAACATTGGTAATTAGATTAATGAAGGGATGAAATCATGATGAAATCTTTCGTCTCTTGGTTAATATTAGTAGATAAGTTTCCTGGATATAGAGGTTCATACTCTTTTAATCATTTCAACTGTTCCTTTGCGTCTTAATACTCGGTCAGTGACGTAAGCATTAGTTCATTGGAATTCTAAGCATTACTTCACTCAGACTGTTAAAAATCTTCTGAAAATATGACTGGGTTGGAGTTAAAATTAAGGTTGCAGTATGAGATAATGTGCTTTTATGTGATTTCTTTGACTTACTGTCTATTGTTCAGATGTATGCCAAAGACGCTGAGATATTATCCAATACTTTTGGCAAGAGTTTAGCAAGACAATAAAGGGTTAGGTCATACTCTCTCTATTATTGGTATTCTGCTTTTTGTATCTTGTTCTCTCCACTAGCAAGACGTTCCAACCCCCAGGCAATTGCATGTGCATCTTATAGAAGTAATTTAATTTTGCTCTCTTGGCACTTTGTTAGCAGGAAATCCTGATTTACTACCTGTAAATTGATTATATAGTTTTCTGTCTACCCTTTACAACAAACCTTATAACTCTGTATAAATTTTCTCCTTGGCAGAGTTCAGCCATTAGAAATTAAGTGCTGCTTTTTTACTGAAAAAAAAAAATGTTACTAGTATTTATTTTAAACTCACTAGGCCAGTCAGGAAGTTTTCCTTTTGCCATAAAAGTAGAAAGCCTTCTATACGGATGTTATGGGCAACAGACTCTTAGAGGTAACTTAGCTTCTACCCAGTGATTTTGAGTCCCTCATCCTTCATTTCCCTATTTCCTGACTCTCTCAAACTTCTCAGTTTGACAGAAATCCAAGGCTTTTACAATGTACTGAACTCAGAGATAAATTGAACAACAGCTATTTCAACTACTATAATAGTTTCCCTTTCAAAAATCCCAAAACTGAGCCAAATTTCCAGGTGGCCATGAACTGATATTTAGGTGTGACTTTCTATGTCTTTTTGGATGGCACAGCATTTCATTCCTCAGTGTGGTAGATTTCCTGTCATAATCGTGATTATTGTGCGATTCATAAACAACCTTTGTATCAGCCCTGTCCAGCAGATCATAAGCGGTTATTTACCAGGGAGGTTGGCAAGATCCATGAAATATAAAATTTTTTCCACAATTTGTTGGCATTACTTTATCCCATCCAGCTACTTATTGTTGAAAAAAAAAATGGTGAAAGGTAGGGACATTGAAGAATTCGACCATTTTGTTAGTCTGAGATCTTTTGTTATCCTCAAGTCTTCTGCCTCTGGCATTACAATCATGTTGTCAGACAATGTGGAATTATATTCATTTGAATGTTAAACTGAAAAGAAATAAGCTCATTCACTTATTATTCTCATGAATTATGTCAGTGCCTACTGGCAGATCATGCAGTGAAAACTGCATATATGATTTTCTTTTATGTTTAATTTATTTTTGCTTTTAATAACATTTTACCAGAAAATAATAAACACTATTACCTAACATTGCTCTTTGAAATATGGTTAAACCTGGAATTATCAAAAAAGAATATTTTTTCATTCCCTATGTTTTATAGCAACACTATTGACAAAGGGCATTGACAGGGCTGTGATGAATTAGAAGTCACTTGTTTATTTTCTATCAGCCTTTTTTTACCTGCTCAGAAGAGACTGCCCAGAAAATTTAGTAGTAAGCAGTTTGTGTAATAATAAGGATGTTAGAAAAACAAAGGTCCCTAGAAGAAAGAATTTAGTTCACGCAGTAAGTATACACTTTATCTGAGTTCATGGCCTAAGCAATTAGGCTTTAATAAATGTAAAGTTTATCTTGCACCCAGCTTATGTTTTCACTGTGCCTGAAAAGCAGTTCTAATATATCCCCAAAGGTAAAGATCTCAATATGTTTGTAATGTTCCTTAACATGCAGAATGTACTTAGTTTTACCCACTTCCTATGAAATTCTTAATCATTTAGTCTTCGACGAAATAATTAAACAACTATGAGCATGCTTAAAATCATGTAAATCAGACTATAATCATCTGTTACTATTCTCATGAAATGATATCATTATTATGTATATAAGTGAAATAATTACCTTAATATTATGATATGACTGGCTATTATCTTCATTGTGCTATAGCTTTATTTAAAAATATCTCCAACTGAATGAGGTTTTCTTTTGGAGGGATTATTAATAAAAAAAAATTTAACTTAAAATGTGATAGATTTTGTTGTGTGACTCAAAATGAAACACGCCCTTATTTAACCATTGATTGCAATATATATTATCATCATATTAGTTAAAGTATACAATGAAATTTAGCTAAATTAAGTCTCTTGAAAAAAGCTTTTGGAAGGAAAACAGCACGGTAGGTGGCCAAACATTATAGTCTCAAACACGAAACAAAACCTCAAAGTCTCAAGGCTTAGGAAGTGAGAAAGAATAAAAGAAAAAATATTGAACAGAACAATCTGAGTTGTTGTTAGAGTCTCTTAGGAAATCGTATAACAAGATTCAGGAAAAAAAATAAAAACTCCAAAACTGGAGTTAGTGAGAATAAAAAACTGAGAGTAAATTATTGGTATCAGAAAGGGTAGCATGTAAAGTGGGAAAAGCAGAGCCAAGGACAGCAGAGATAACTAAAAAGGTGATCCTTTCTCACCATTAGGAAACCAAACATAAATCTGAAGAAGAAATAGGAGAGAAGCAAACGAGGTGGGAGAAAAAAAGAGTAAGAGGAGGAGGAGACATAGGAGAGGGAGGAGGAGTAGGAAGAGTTTAAAAATAAAATTCTAATGTACAGCATGGAAGTGAAAAACAGGAATAACAGGAAATGTCAATTACTGCTTTCAATAGAAATTTATGAGGTGAGGTTACAAATGGCAAATAATTGTTATTGGTTATGGGGAGTTTGTTTATAAATAAGGTAGAATAGATCATTTATGTCTTACTAATATCTTGTAAATTTGAGTTCCAGTAGTATAAATTGATCTATGTTGAAAACTGTATAACAAATGCATTTAATAGAGAGGCTTACTAATATGTTACATATGTAAGATATATTTCTGATCACTTCTTTTCTGTAATGCAACAATATTTAAAATACACAAGTGTTTTCAGTGTGCGTTAAGAAAATATGAACAAATAAAAGTTGCTAATGAATTTATTTTTTTAATATGGAAATATTAGACACTCATAACTTTTCATTATTACTAAAGGTGCCAATATGCCCTAGTGATTCTAAGTGCAAAGTGCATTATAATATTATTAAAAACAATTAGATCTCTAGAATTTAGAATAAGCAGTAACACATTTGATATTTATTTAAAGAAAGCCAGGGATCAGAGTTATTGCTGTGATCCTTAGCAAGCGGTAAAGGAAATACAAAGACACAATTTTCTATACATGAAATTGCTTGCATTTCAAAGGTTACTATCGATAATTCCAACAGCCATTGCAACAACAAAAATATACCTAGGAAGGTAGTCACAGAAAATTACTTATAGTAGAGCAAAATAGTTTGAAAAAAATCATTTGAATTTCAACATTTAAAACAAATTATTTACATATAAATGCATATGTATACAGTCACATGTCATTTAACAATGGGGATATATTCTGAGGAATGCTTCTTTAGTCAACTTTGTCATTGTTTGTACATATAATAGTGTACTTACACAAACCTAAATGGTATAGCCTCCTGCCTGTGTAGTCCGTATAATATAGTGAATACTGTTGACAATTGTAACGCAACGGTAAGTGTTTGTGTGCTTAAATATAGCTAAACATAGAAAAGGTACAGTAAAAACACAGTTTAAAAGGTAACAAATGGTACTTATTTATAGGGCACTGATCATGAATGAAACCTGAAGGACTGGGAGTTGCTCTGAGTGAGTCAGTAAGTGTTATGCAAATTGTGAAGTCCTAGGATATCACTGTTTACTAGTGTAGACTTTATAAACACGCTACACTTAGGCTACAGAAAATTTATTTTCAAAATTCTTTTTTCAATAATAAATTAACCTTACCTTAGTGTAACTTTTAAATTTACAAATTTTTAAGCTTTTTAAAGTTTTACTTTTTTATAGTAACAGTTTAAAACACAAATTTTACAGCTGTACAGAAATACTATTTTTTATATCTCTATTTTATAATATTTTTGTATTTAATTTTTTAAACTTTCAAATATTTTTTCTGTGTGTGGAAAACTAAGACACACACACATTAATCCAGGCCTACACAGGTCAGAGTCATTAATATAACTGTTTCTACCTCTACATCTTGCCTTACTGGAAAGTCTTGGGGCAATCGGGGTCAGGATCATTAATATAACTGTCTTCCACCTCTACAACATCTTGTGTCACTGGAAAGTCTTCCAGGGCAATAACACATATGGCACTGCCAACTCCTATAATAACAATGCCTTCTGGAATACCTCCTGAAGTACCTGCCTGAGGCTGTTTTACATTTAACATATTATTTTTTAAATGAGTAGAACTACACTGTAAAATAACAATAAAAAGGACGGTATAGTTAATGCATAATCCAGTTACATTGCCTTTTATTATAATTATCAAGTATTATGTACTGTATATAATTGTATGCATGTACAAATCTTACACTTTTATAGGACTGGCAGGGCAGTAGGTTTGTTTTACAATAAACACAAAAGTAATGCCTTGTGTTACAACTTTATGATGACTAAGAGGTCACTAGGAAGTAGAATTATTTTTTGCTTTGTTATAACCTTATGGGATCGCCATTGTGTATGTGGTCTGTTGTTGATTGAAACATTACTATGCAATGCATGACTATAAAATATATGATACATAGATACATATTCACATGTATACAGGCATATATACATATATTTTATAAATATACATATCACATTGCAATACTTATAGGATCTTTGTGGTTAGAATTTGCCACATAAGGTGTTTTTAAAGTTGTAGTTAATCTCTTAATTTTTATTCTTAATCATAAAATGCATTTTTAAAGGTATATCTGAATTTGCAATATAGATTCTGCTTTAAGTAGCATTTCCAGTTGTCCCACACTAATTAGCGTATACAAACTGAAATAACTATAATGTGGATTTCATTAAAGTTACGAGACAATTCAGTAAAGCCATTTCTCTAGGAATTGAATTTCTTTAGCTCCTACCAACCCAATGATGAATCCAAAATTTACATACACATCCAACAATATTTCACAAGCTCCATAACTTCATCCCTGTATCTATTGGGCGTTTCCACTTGGATGGCCCATGAGCACCTAAAATTTTACATTTTCATACTTCGAAGATGCCTATCCCCTATAGTTCATTCCTTAGTGGATGACTCTGCAATCCACCCAGTTATCAACTGGTCTGAAAACATCCTAGTCAGAAAAGAAGACATCTTACATGCCTTCCTCTATTTCTTTTAATTTCTGTATTTCAATGAAGTTGACAATTTTGTCTCACAAATTTCTATTGTATCTACCTATTCCTATCTAAGTCCATGCTAGTACTTTAATTCAGGGCCACATCTTTACTTTCTTGGCTTCTTATCTAGTCTTGTCTCCTCACATTCCATTTTACACTCTCATTAAAATATCTTCTCATTAACATACATATTTA
Organism: Homo sapiens; assembly: GCF_000001405.40. Taxonomy (NCBI): domain Eukaryota; kingdom Metazoa; phylum Chordata; class Mammalia; order Primates; family Hominidae; genus Homo; species Homo sapiens. Next base: position 25,950,210 of record NC_000005.10, read on the forward strand.
GTTGTGTTATGCCTTTGCTCACAGTTTTGAAATGGTTCATTTTAACTTTGAAAATGCATCAAAGATGACTCCACATCCCTTCATAGTATGCACACAACAAAGTTCTTCTTTAAATTTCTTTGTATACTCGATCACTCTCAAACTTTTGGACTTTGATTTTCATGTTCCCTGCCATTCGACATGTTGTTTCCTTTGCCTTAAACACCTACGTTGGATTTTTCCATTGAGTCTCAATAAAACCATATTCTCTTCTGTAAAGGATTTCTTAATGCTGTTCATGAAGGGCCTGAAAAAATTCCAATTTAATACACATTGTTTCTCTTACAAACTTCCTTTATAGAAAGAGCCAAAATGTATTAGACTTTTCTATAATATTTGTGGGATATGCCCTCAGGCAAAAATGTAGGCGACTCAAATTATTTGAAGCCTGAAGGCTTCTAACTCAATGCCAGTATTGCCAACTATATTGCCTTAATTCCCTCTCCTATGAAGATAATTTTCTTTGGGAAAAAAGAGGCAAATTCATACTTTTTAAAACTTCAAGTGCCTCCTGCCATGAACTCTATGACATTGGTAATGTTATCAAATCATCAGGCATTCAGTCTAGCTCCTGCTGCTCACCACACAGACGGCCAATCACTGAGACAATGAGTATTGACACGGAAGAAGGCGTTAATCAGGTGCTGCAGTTGAGGACATGGCAGATCAGTCTCAAATCCATCTGCCTCACTGACTAAGCTGGGGGTTTATATAGCAGGAAAATAATGCAGCTACCTGCCAGTAAACGGGAATTTGGGAAGAGTAAGGAAATCATGAAGATGTGGGGTCTGGCTTCTCATGGTCTGGATGTGGTGATCTGGTGAGTTTCAGTTCCTTGATATTATCTTGGAGGACTGAGGGTCTGTTTCCTGAGGAAGGAACTTAGATAAGAGAAATGTAAGTTTCAAGCTTTAAGTTTGGGAAGGTCAATTTCTATCTATATTTTAAAAGGCTGTAAACATGAATTCTATGAGACACTTTGTCCAGTTTCAATATTTATATTAATACAGACTGAATTTATTCTAAAGAAGATCTATGTATTTACCAAGCCGTTTACACAGGATGCTTACTAACTTGTTGGGATCTGTGGACCAATTTTTCAGAGATATATTAAATATGTTAATGGCCTCCAATCTTGTTAAAGCCCAATTTATTTTTCCTTCCATTATCTTCTATGTGGCATATAAACAGAGGATCTGGGGCATACAACTTGATTTCAACTTTTTACACTGGTTAATGCCCTTGGCTTATTGTATCTGGTGTACCAACCAAGCACACACTATGGCAGCATCACCATAAATGATACATGCTAAAAAATTGTTTTTCAAATATCAGAAAGGGAATTAGTTACCTTTTAGTAATTAGAGACACAACATTGACTACCCTTATGTTATCCTCAAGGTATCTGTTGTTGTAAGTTGACAGAAACCTAGCCTATCAAAGTTGCTAAATGGTTACTACGTTTTATAAATATCACTGGTAATTCAACCTCCACTTCTACTTAATCCTATAACCCTCAAATATAGCCTTCTCATGCAAGGGAATTATGTTAGCTGAAACATGGCTATGCCTACAATTATTTTCTCAAATAACAGCCTGTAATTCCTTACCTTTACTTTGATCTACCTCTCCAGAACTCACTGTTACATCAACAAAAATAATAAATTAAATATCACAATATGAGATGTCACATATGTCTGTTTATAAGTCAGTTTCCCCAGAAAGTTAATTCAAGCCAATATCAATGACCTTTTTTGAGAGTAAGAATTCTTGGATAGAAAGCTAAAAACTGGACATCCTAGAAGAGAGAATTGGGGGAATTCTAGAACATCAAATATTTGTTAGGTGCAAATAAATTCAAACCCAGATCTCTGTGACTGCAAAGCCTATCTTCCTTGCAATGAATTTCCTAGTACTTGTGCCCAATAGCCCTTAAATAAAATATAGAGCAAGCCTAGGCAGTTACTAAAGCCCAGACTTCTGGATGATGCTCTACCATAATAACTGAGTGCAAGTTGCATCTGAGAATGATCACATTCGAGTGTTCATTCCTGAGTTCATGGGTATGGAAACACTGACACTTTAAAACTGATCTGTTACCACCCAATATACCAAAAGTATGAGGACGCTGTATTAGGTCAAAGAGAGTCCCGGAAGGTGTATAGTATTAAGAGAATCACAGATGATCTTGAAAAGCATTGGGAAAAAGACAGCCACGATGGCTCATGCCTAAAATCCTAGCATTTTGTGAGGCTGAGGTGGAACACTTAAGCCCAGGAATTCAGGACCAGCCCTGGGCAATACAGTAAGATCTTGTCTCTACAATTTTTTTTTTTTTTTTTTACAAATTAGCTGAGCATGTTGGCATGGGCCTGTAGCCCCAGCTACTCATGAAACTGAGCTGGGAGGATCACTTGAACCCTGGAGGCAGAGTCTGCAGTGAACCTACATTACTCCACTTTACTCCAGCCTGGGTGACAGAGCAAGATGCTGTCTCAAAAAAAAAAAAATAATCTTTATAAACTTGGCTGCAAATTCTACCATGCTATTAATTATACATCTCGGAACAAAATAAATCTCAAGCATTCTAAAATTCAGTTACCCAATTTTTTAAGTGAAAAAGTAAGAGCACATAATTTTTTGGACATATTCATCCTTCATTAATATAAATATATGTCAGTCTGAAACATAAAAATGTTTAATTTGAAAAGGAAATAATTGCATTTCCTCTAAATTTACATCTGCGAAGAATGAATCAAAAGCCAGGGTATGGCCTGGCAGAAATGTATTTAATATTCAGTTTTTAAAAAAGTATCATGGACTACAGGTAAAGCAAATTTGACAGACTAAATATCATAGTTTGGAGGATTACAGAAATGTAAAACTGTTGGCATAGACTGTAGCCTGAAAGAAAGAAAAAAAAAAACTAAATGAGGTATGATGTTTTTTAGTTAGAAAAAATAAAATATATTTGAGAGAAAAACAACAACAAAACAGATTAGTGAAATAAGAAAGACTGCCAAATTTTCTGTCAGCCTGCTACAATTCTTTTCTGACCCCACTGCTACAGAAAGTAAATAAATCACTGAGCTTTTTCAACTTAACCTTAAAATTCATTGCAACAAAGTCTTTGGGATTATTACCAGCAGGTCACCATTTGCGCATGGAAGAAAAGATAATTTCCATCCTTAGAACAGATTAAACTCAAGGAAAACTCTCAGCAAGTGTGTCAAATCGATAAAGATATTTTTGGTATTCTACCTTCTTCTCTCTGCTTAGGTAACTCTCTGATTAGTTCTTTTATATCCAGATACATCCTGTTCTAGGACCTACTCAATCTATCTAGGTTTGATATGGAAAAAAATGAGATGCATTTAGAATTAACCTTATTTTTCTCAATGTAATTCATGGAAATTCTAATGTGAATATTTTGGATTACTTAACTAACAACTAGAAAAAGAAAACATGCAATGTATATTAATTTGGGAATACATTTAAGACATAGTGTAATGCATATCTGTTTACCTTCCTTTCATTATAAATCTAGTTTGATAAATTTGTACCAAAACATGACACAATAAAATAAATATCCAAAGATTTTACAAAATAGTCAAGAGAAAAAAATTATTTCCAACTCCCTTGATCCCTGAGGATAATGACCTATTCTGCCTGTATTTACTGCCTTCATAGTTTAGTCTAACTTTAATGTGAATGCAATTTTAAAATTGAAAATTAGTTTCTCTTTCTTATCAGTATGGAAATGAGAAGAAATTCAGGAGAAATTTTGTGCTTCTGTTACGGAGAAGCCATGTTTCACACCTCTGAGTGTGTGTTTTATTTTTCTACAGCTTTTCAGAAAGTATAACTTTTGTGTATTTTTTTTCTCTTTCAGAAACTCAAGATCACCTTGACAATGATTGCTCCATTTGAACCATTTGAGAGAGAACAGCAGAGCAATTTTACCAAGGACTAAATAGTTTCAAATGGGCTGAGATACTGATTCCAGACAGCCAAATGACCATTAAAACAGAGATGGGCGGTTGTGGAATATGAAACTAATTTGAGAAATGTGTATTTTGACATTTTTTATTACACAAGCAGTCATACACACTCTAACATTTCCTTTGAGATATGGGGAAAAGTTATTCTTGCCACAGAAATGAAAGGGCAGTTGAAGAGGGAAACTCATTTATATAGATTTTCAAGTGACTATGATAAAACCAACAATACCAAAATGATATAAGTGGGGGAAACGGTATGTGCAGGAAGCCACTTAGCATCTGACCTTTGCCAGTCTAATCATCTCAGAGACACCAGGAGTCGACACAAAATCAAGTAAACACACAGAGCTGGGAAAAATTAGAAAATGTTAAAAAGCTACATTGCACTTCAAATCAAGTAATAGTATAGTAATATCTTGGTACCTAAAATCATATCTAGGCAAAATATTTAAAATTCTTTTGGATAATTTGAACTTGTTGTGTTAAATAAAGAATAACATTGCTTAGCTATGTAGATTTCAATCTGCAGCAGTTTGGTTGAATATAGTTCCTGATGTAGCACATAGAAACCAAGTAATACACATTTGCATAATTAATAAAATTATATATTTAGTTTAATTTCATATAACATTCTAATAAGGCAATATATTATTACAATTTTATAGCACAGTATTTCATTGTTGGAAGTGAAATCATTTACCTTAACATATATTTTGTATAATGAATCAAGTCATTATTAAAAGAAGGGGTCAAGGGATCTTACAGGTTTTAAACAAGCTGTTGTTAAATACACTGTGAATTAAATTTGCAAGTATCAAGCATTTGTTTGATTATATTCTTGGAACACTATAGCTCAACACAAAAATGGAAAACAAAATGTACAAAACCAAAAAGTAGTACTAGAAGTGCTCCTGCTCTTGAATTTTTATTAGTTTCCTAACTAAATATTCAATTCTAGCGGTATAATTCCAATAGTCTATAGATTCTATATATGGCTGAGAAAACTCATTTGTAAAGTCTTTTTTTGTAGCATAAAAATAACTCTTGGTCCCATTTATCTGTACCTTCCTTTTTTTTTTTTTACAAAAATATGAAGTTGTAGTTGAAATTGTATCTATACAGTTCTTGCCAATTATACTATTATTCACATGCCACTTCAAGAATGTCACCTTACAGTTCTGTGGTTATCATTTGCAAAGTCTGCAATGCCTTTGCCTTAGAGGCTATGCAAATTTTTGTTAGATATAAGCCTTCTCATTTCTGATTTCAGGAAGTCAACATAACCCATCTGCTGCTTTCACTTCCCAGCTGTATGCAACTATGCCAAATTGCTCTAAGTTGAGCTTTATACTGTTTTCGTAGGCTATCTTTTACCCACCGTGCTTACATTTTCCTTGTGTAATTCACCCTAGACACAGGTGCAGATGGCATGTAGAGAAGAGCAATGCATTTGGGAACATGTAATATTTGGCTTGCAAGGGCTTTGACAGAACTTCGAATTATAGTTCTAAAAAGTGAATTAATTTAGTGAAGGGATGGGCACTGGTGCATCAAAATGGATACAGCTCTCAAAATGATGCCTGATTCAAATTCTGTTTCCATGTTTCTTGAAGAAGTCACTTAGTTTTGTTGCTTCCTTTTTAAACATTCCCAAAATAAAATCTTGTAACTTTTCAGTAACTTTCCAAGGATGTGCTTTACAAACAAATCTATATAGAGAAATTATTGATAGACCAATAGGATTTGTGTTTATTAGCAGTGTGCTATTATTAGCAGTGTAATTATAATATAGCCTTCTGACTGACATTAAGTGTACTAAATAGGCTTATGTTCCACAAGACATTAGAAGTAAGAATTGAGCAGGTAGGCAAGTCGTTATCAACAAGACCATTATAATGTCTAACTCCTCTGAAATAATCAAAAATAAAAAACATATTGCAAGGAAGTTATAACCTCATAATTGCCCATGAAAAGGCAATTATGGACACCATCATTTTGTTAACCCAGATTTGTGTATGGAAGCCATTAAAACTGCTTTCACTGCTAAAGATAATTTGTATTCCTTAGCAGTTTGGACTACACTGATAATATTTGGGGCTGGCAGGTTATTATTCTTCTTTACATGTTAACTTATTTTGTTATATTTATAAAGAAAAACAGTGAGATGAGAAAGATGAGGAAATATACCTTAATGAGCAGTGGCAGAAAGAGTAAGTCATTCAAACTTTCAAACTCATGCTCATTTTAATATAGTCACTGTGTAGAGTGACTATAGATAATAAAAATCATGGAATAAATGTACTGCTATGCATGTTTATAAAGTATCTATTTGTAGATGATATTAGAACCCAAGAATATAGGCATTTGTGGCAGAAACAATGACCAAACACAAAAAATGTGTTGCTATTAGAAGTGTCAGCATATTTCATGGTCTGATCTGAATGTCCAGTTTTGTGTATAAAGGACACTTTTTACTAAGTGTAGCTTTTAATCTTGAACTGACATGATACATTCATCACAATTTAGTGTCAAGAGAGATACCATCATATCTGCTTCTTGGTGCCAGAGACTTCAAGATGAAAAAAAAAAAGCACAAGTTTATCTGTAAGGATGTCAAATGTTTCTTAGGATTTTGACTTACTTGTCAGTTTACAACTTTTCCAAATGTCCTAGATATGCTTTAAATTAAATGTTAGGAAGAAAGGACAGCTCATAACTTGCATAAGTTTAAGAGAGAGGACAAACTGCACTTTCTCCTTCCTAATTCCTTGCCACCCAAATCAGGATACAATGGAATCATGAAAGATATTGATTCAATTTTTTCACTTTAAGAAAAGTAATTTCAAAGATACTCTCTATACAAATACATTTCTGATACAAGTCTGTGAATAATAATGGATATGAAGTGACACAGAACAATGAAAGCGTGCTCCTCAAAATAGATATGTAAATTTAACATTAAAAGTCTCACATTTTTAAAGGCCCATTTTCTTTCAAAGAATATAGAATGAGATTTAACACAGTATTAACTAGTCAAAAGTTATTCTTTCTAATTTCAAAAAAAAATTTAAGTCTTGGCATTACTTTAATCAAATATGCATAAATATGTATATGTTAAATAAGTCAAAAAACACTCAAAGTCAGAACAAACAACATACGGCAATTTCTGATTGCTTTGAAGATGGGAGAAAATTATGCCATATTTATTTTAAAGACTATTTTATTACACTCTATGCTATGCTAGTCATGGAACATATTTTCTGTAGAATGATTTTATTGCATAAAATCTTAATATTCCCTGATTTCTCAGCTAATTTCTTTTGGCCTGAATTAGTTCTGCAATTACTTACTCATGTAAGAAGGATGTGCATGAGCCTATGGGATTTTTTCATTCTATTATAGAAAAGCAGAGGTGTATATACATATGTTAGATAGATAATTATTTATTTTCATAATTATTTATTGAGAGCCTAATATGAGTTGTGTGCTTGCTTTCAAAGAGTTTTATGTTTACTGACACGCAGTTCCAGTTCTAGTTACATGTAGTACATGGATAGTTAGTGTCAGTTGGTTTTTCAATCAATCCATCCAGTTGCTTATAGAAGAATTGGAAATGCTGCAAAATAGGCCATTGTTAACATTCCATAGATATGGGTAATAAGTGGGACACACATACCCCATGAAACAAGACCGTAGTGAGGGGAAGAAGCTATTCTATCTTTCTTTAGGGAATGAGGGATTATCTGTATATCCGATAAGATTAAAATGGGAAAAAAAGACAATCTCTTCTTTATTACTAGACAAACATACTGAACAATTACATGCAACTTTAGGGTAAGATAATATCTTAACTAATTCATGTATCTATGGCTTCTCCAGAATCCTCCCTGCCCCAATCCAAGAGTAATGTTTTAAACAACACAAATCTGTAACATCTTCACTCTAACTATTCATCAGCTTCCCAAAGTGCTTGAGATAAAGTCTCTGAGCCCTTGTTTACCAGCAAAGAGTCATCTGTGAGGAATTTTCTTTGCCTTCTGGCTTGCCTTCTCCAATTCCATGTACCATTTCTTCACCATTGCCAGACACCCAAAGTAGAGTGTTTCTATGTTATTTTCATCATTTTCACTTATTTACTTCCTACTTTCCCTTAAATCTCACCACAAGTATTACCTTTAAGGGAAACCTTCCAAAATCAGTACACCACTTTTGTTTAGTTCCTGTTATAATTAATTATAATTTTAACATAATATGCTATTTTGATTGATGCCTTACTCTAACACTAGAAGCTCCAGAGGACAAAATTTTGTCTATTTTTAGTCACTCATATATACCATCATATTTCCCATTGGTTGGTAGTCAATAGCTAATAGAAACCAAAATAATATTTAGTGAGGGGCTGTACCTCAGTGTATACAAGCAGAGGAGAACATTAGCGAAATGAATATTGAAGTAGAATTTTGGGCAAGATTTGATCAATTTAATACTTAGATACACTTTATAATTGTCTCTGCTGTAGGAGTTGTCTACTTAAAATGTATATTTGGTGGTTTACCAAGTAATGTTCCTGTACATTATTTTATCTGGTCCTCTTAGTTGCTATAATAAGTAAACAGTGGCTGATTATCACACACACAGATATTAAGGTGTCATCTACATACTTGTCAGATGTCCAGAGTATGGGAAATTGCACTCCTCATCTTTTTGAATCAAAGTTATATCATATATCACAATGTACAACTGTATTTTACTGAAATAAATGTCTGAGAGTAAGATACTTTTTTACCTTTAGGTTTTGTTTTTATCTCATTGCTTCAACTACTATTGGAAAATATGAGCAATTAATAAAGTTCTCTGTTTTTATTTTTGGGTTTTGAATATGAATTAAAATGAAAACTCCTTTCCTTACTAACTTTACTAGTTTGAAAAAGAAAAGCTAAGGAGTTAGTTATTTTAGCAGAATGAAAATAGTAAAGGAAATAGAGGAAATTGTGTTCTTAGGTTCAGGCCTTACATGTTTGAAGCCAGTGTGTAGTACACAACAGAAACTAACAGGATTATCATTGATTCTTCCTCAGTATTAAATTTAATGTTCTGTTTTTATTTGGTTTTACCAAGCATTGAACAGTCTTAGAGCTGTAACTAAAGTTACATATTTTCTTTTTCCATTTCAGAGGCTCATTGTAACGCTTTTTTTTTGAAATCAGAAAAAATATATTTTTTACCCAAATTTGCAACTGAAAATATTTTGTTTTATTCATTTCTTTGATAATGTTAGTGTCTAGTAGATGCAAGACAAGGAAAATAGCTCATGTCTTTATATTATGAAAATAATTATCAATTTCCCATTTTTAGCTTTGTTGCCAACCTATTGTCTTAGGCAAGATTTTGTGCCATTCATTTTACCAATCTATAAGTTTGACATAATATTGTCTATTTTACTTTAGAGTTAGAAACATGCTAGAGGAGATATCAGTATTAACAGATAATTCTATAATAAGTTTGAAAATATAGGATAACCTTTATATATTTCTAACTCACTTTATTTTCACCTAATTATTCCATCTGTCAATGCAGAGTTCTTCATTTATGACCTTTGATGTTCAAATTTACTTTTCTTGAATTCCATTTTTGTGTAACTTCCAGTTATAATATTTTTGAAACGAAATTCCTCTAAGAAAAACCAGCTTATTATCAAACTAAAACAAGAGCAAAAATGTAAATTTTGCTTTTATAGCATTTGTGAAAATGCCTAGAACAGACATTATCATCCATAGTTTGGTAAGTCTTTAGAAGCTGAAAAGTTTAACAATTAATGCATTGTCTGAAATAATGTAGAAGGATTCTCGTGTTTTAGAGCAATAGTCAAAATACTTTATTATGCATAAACTGTTTACAATTCCACCACCAAAACACCAAAGGGAACTCAAAGTTATAAATAAGCACACAGATAATCAAATTATAACTTCTATATGGAGTGCTAAACAAGTCATAGGGTTAGAAAGTTGGGAGCTTTGTTATAAGAACCTCTGTTCAAGATTGTGAGGTTTCCAAAATGATGATTTTCTTAATTGACTAAAATTTTAAAAAGAAGAATAAAAAACTTCAGAAGTAATTTGAAAAGAACTAATAGAATAGGAGAGTGTAGCAGGTGACATGTCTCAACCATTTTCAATGTTCAGAAGATGTATAGAAACTGGAGCACTTCTATTTAGGAGACATTTTATCAAAAATTTAAAATAAATAATAAATAAATAAAATAAATAGATGTTCCCAAAAGAAGATATGAAAAAAAGAAAAACAGTAATATGCAGCATAGAGTGACAAAGAAATGGAAAATATGGAAGGAATACCAAGATATATGAAGGATAAAAGAAGAAAGTTTAACATAGTTCTATTTATAGTTCCAGAAAAAGTTAATAGAGAAAAATGTTGGAGAGGCAGCATAGAAAGGTATATTGATTAAATGTTTTCCAGAAATGTTTAAAGTCACAAATTATACATACATACATATACATATATATATATATATATATATATATATATTTTTTTTTTTTTTTTTTTTTTTGAGATGGAATCTCACTCTGTTGCCAGGCTGGAATGAAGTGGCATGATCTTGGCTCACTGGAACCTCTGCCTCCCGAGTTCAAGCGATTCTCCTGCCTCAGCCTCCCAAGTGACTGGGACTACAGGCACTAGCCACCATGCCCAGCTAATTTTTGTATTTTTTTTTTGGTAGAGATGGGGTTTCACCATGTTGGCCAGGATAGTCTTGATCTTCTGACCTAGTGATCTCCCCACCTCAGCCTCCCAAAGTTCTGGGATTAGAGGTATGAGCCACCACACCCGGCCTAAAGTCATAAATTCTTAAATGAAAAAGAATGAATTCCAGGAAGAAATAAATAGATTCTCATTTGTTCAGATCATAGTGAAGTTGCAAAGCAGCAAATGCAATGAAAATGTGTTAAAAGTAGCTGTGGGAGCAGTGTGGAAAGAAAGTATGTATAAATAGTGATGATTAGATATAAACTACTGGGTAGCCCAAACAGGAAAAAAAAATTAATTAAAACAAAAAAAAGAAATTAAAAAGAATATAAAAATAAAATGAAAGGATCAAAAAAGCATATAAATAATTTTTCAAAAATTCTAAGACTAAAAAGAAATTTAAAAATTAGAACTGAAGTACTTTTACAGTATTTCCTTCTCTGCTCAAAGGAGAAATAATATTAGGGAAGAAAAAAAGAAGTAGGCCATAAAAGCAGCATGTATTTAAAAAGTATTAAAAAAGTAAGACAATATGATCAATATAACGACAGCATATTTGATAATTTACATTTAAAGAAAGAAAAATATAACAAGAAAATAAACTCCAGTATAAATGTAAAAACAGCAATCCAATCAAATACATTAATGTTAAAAAATTGTTTTACCTACCAAATAGAAAATTCAGTCCTACAGATGAGTTATATCACATACTTCAAGGAAGGAAATTCCAACAATACCTTAATTCTTTCAAAAAATACAAAAAGTGAAAGTACTCAATATTTGCAGTGAGTCTAGTCTCCCCATGATATTAAAATAAAACAAGGACCATAATAGAAATAAACACTATTGATATGGTCAATAAATTTCATGCTGAAATGTCATCCCCAGCGTTGGAGGCTTCCCAGTGTTGATGATGTGATCTCCAATGTTGCAGGTCCTAATATTGGTCCTGGTGGGAGGTCTCTGGGTCATGGGGAAGGATGCCTCATAAATGGCTATTACAATGAGGATTATAGTAATGAGTTACCATGAGACCCAATTGTTTAAAAGTGTCTGGGACCTCCCTGTCTCTCACCACATGATGCGCCTTCTCTTCCTCCTCCTTCTGCCATGATCATAAGCTTCCTGATGCCTCCCCAGATGTCAAGGATATGTTTGTGCTATGCTTGTACAGTTTGTAGAAATGTGAGTCAAAATAAAACTCTTTTCTATATAAATTATCCAACCTCAGGTATTCCTTCATAGCAATGCAGAATGGATGAATACAACTGTAGTCAAGATTTATTATAAAATACATGCAAAAATCTCAAAGGGAATAGAAATATATATAAAACATATTTTAAACATACTAAGGATAGTACACACATACACGTACATGTGAAAGTCATCGGAATTAAAATGGAGCCATGTGTTTTAAAAACTCTGACAAGTAGATCCAGGGAAGACCATGAAAGTACGGTTCTTATGCACAAATGCCTGATAACAAGAACTATTACAAAAGACTCTGCAAAATACATAGTCTTGCACAAAAGCCACCAGTGATATTGGTGGGTTAGGGGAGGACCCCAAATGCCGGTAAGACCTCGACCCCAGCTGGTGTCCAGGCTCTTGACACAATTTTAAGAAAGAATTAAAAAATGAGTCATAAAATAGTGAAAGTACAGAGATTTATTACAAAGTGAAAAACACGCTGAAGAAAGAATGTGAGCATACTTAAGAGAGAGTTGTGTCAAAGGGGATTTGGGGTTTCTATCTTTAGGGTTTTTTTGTTTTTGTTTTTGTTTTTGTTTTTGTTTTTGTTTTTGTTTTTCTGATACAGAGTCTCATGCTGTTGCCCAGGCTGGAGTGCAATGGCGCAATCTTGGTTCACTACAACCTCTGCCTCTCAGATTCAAGTGATTCTCCTGCCTCAGCCTCGGGAGTAGCTGGGATTGCAGGTGCCTGCCACCACGCCCAGCTAATTTTTTGTATTTTTTAGTAGAGACGGGGTTTCACCATCTTGGCCAGGCTGGTCTTGAATTCCCGACCTCAGGGAACCCACCTGCCTCAGCCTCCCAAAGTGCTGGGACTACAGGCATGAACCACCGTGCCCGTTTCTTTATGGGTTTCTTTCTTTCTTTTTTTTTTTAATCAAAGGGTGGAATATTCATGAAGATTCCTGGAAAAAGGTAAAGATTTCTTGAAACTGTAGTACTACTTATTTTTACACCAAATATAGGTGTCCTGGAAACTGTCAGGCTGCTGGTGGGTATGTGATTTAGTTTGTTCATTAGTGTATAATGAGGTCCTAGGTGAAACCTAGGTCAAATCCAGTGCCATGTTGAGTCCAGTCAGCCTTAGCCAGGTTGGTGCACACCCTGGTTTTTCACGCTTTTATCAGTCCCTAGTTGCTGCAGCTATTTCAAGTTTCCTTTTGCTAGTATTGTGAAAGTGCTGACTGGAATTCTCTATTCTCCTGGGACCACCCTGTATTATTTCTATCTCACCACAGTCTTACTCAAGAAAATACTGATGCAAGGACATCTGCCCAGCAAATGCCTGTCCAAGCTTGGACTGGTGCCACCCTTGTTATTGGTTCTTACAGCCAAAAATAAGTGTCTCAAGATAATTATGTATCCTTTCCATTTTTTCCTTAAAAATCTATGTCTTTCTTTACTTTCCTGAATATGCACATAGTTTACAATAGCATGCATATTCCCATTGCAATGCCTAATCCTGAAAAACATTTATTTATCTTCTGGAGAGTCTCCCTCTCTCTTATTTAGATTGACGTAATGATGCCTCAGAAGTGCAACTGAAGTTGACTGACCTTGGACAAATCAGCGTCCACTGGGAATCCAGCACAATGGTGACTGAGCCCTTTGTTCTCTCTGTTTCCAAGAGTCACATTTCTGTCCTGTGAATCTCGTCTAGAATTCTCGGACTCCTTCCTCTTGGTGAGTTTTTTGTTTGTTTGTTTGTTTTTACTATATTCTGGATCTAATTTGGTTATAAGCCACCTTTAATGAAAGACCCTGCATCCCTTTTGGGGCTATAAGTCTTTTCTGGCAAGCCCTTTCTGATAAGCATTCTTTTAGCGAGTACTCTGGTTTCTACAGAATTTATATTTAGTTTGTGAGGACTTCCTATCATTTCTTGCATAATCATTTTTTGGTTCTTGTGATCAAAACAAATATTTAGTTTGATCTGCATGCTTGGCTTAATAGTTTAGGGAACAGTCTGATTTTGGTTTCATTTTGGTTTGGTTACACGTCTGTAAAAAAATCTGGATCTTTTACAATTTTTACTCTTTTTGTTTCTGAACATCTTCCGGAACAAGAGTAAACATTTTAAATGAAGAGTATGATATGGCTAATAAAAGTCAATACAAAAACAGTGACCATCTAAAACACTGGATCAAATTCCTGATATTTCCTAACAGAATTTATTTATTTATTTATTTTGTTCTTGGGATACTAATGAAAAATCGAATAGGATTCTGAAATTCTGAAGACATTCAACAATAAACTTCCTTCAGGGATTCCAGCCACTATATTATGACCCATTCTTATGTACAGTCTTTAAGTGATTTATCAATTACTCAGAAAAACTGAGTTCAATGATCATTTTTTGAACTCTCTAAGAAAATTGCAACTACCTATCATATTAAAATGTTGAGCCTTGTAAGTTCTGTTTGTCTCTCTTTTTTTTCTTTGCCAACTTTCAATTCACTGACTTTTCTGCAATTATCAAGATAAACTCACTGCTTTTAACATTCCAGTCAAGATTTTTAAAATAGTCTTAAAGGAGTTTCAAATTAATGGCTTTACAAATTATAACAGCTCCATGACAATGAGCAACATAGCCTTCAAAAACTGAGTCATTTCTTTTAATGTAAATTTGGGCTTACCTACCTAACAATCACTTACGGTGATGCAACAGTTAAATTTATATAAAACAATCTAAAAAGAATAGCAAGCTAGATAACTGTTTATAGAAAAGTTAAACTCTCAGATTAAATGGGACAAAATCTGGACTCAGAGTAATAATATATATCTGTCTAGTGTATAAATTGCTTTGTTTGCCATGCAGGGGCCAGAAAAAGCAAATTTAAAAAAATGGCTAAAATGCTTCCCCACGCATACTAGTCAACCAAACGAGACAAATAAAGGAAAGCTTAGTTACTAACTCAAAGCTGCTTGAAACTTTTATTTTCCTTATACAGTTCACCAAGACCTAACTAAAATCTAAACATTTAAAAATTTAATGCTGAAATCATTTGAAAATGGAAAAAGGGTAAAAAAAAAGATTTTGTTTAAAAAAAACAAACAAACTGATATACCCAAAAATTTGGTCCACAGCCTTCATAAAATTATCTGTTGGGACAAACAAATTTGATCTATGTGAATAGGTCCTAATTTATCAAAACAAAATTTGGATCTAGGTGTCCTTTTATAAACTGGTTAGTTTGCATTACTACAGTTTATTGTCTCATGACAAAAATTCTAAAATGAAATCCATAAGATCTTTCTGTGTATGTGTGTGTGTGTGTCTGTGTGTGTGTGCATACTTAGATGTGTTTTCCTATGTAGGCATATTATACTATACACTGTGTCTATAAGATGAAATCTGAAGTAGTTGGCCAGAAATCCCTTACAGGATTCTATTCTCATTGGTGTAGATAAAAGAGCTTTCATAAAATTTTTTAAAAATTATAGTAATTAACCCAAATGTCTTTTAGTTCTCATGACTTAAATAAATGCTTAATATGGAAGCTAATTTTAAATGTATTGTAAAAATAAAAATGTCTTCAGAATTGGCAGCATACATTTTTGCCTGGGTTTACTGTTCAGTAGAATTCTATTTGTCTCTGCTAGATGTTTTAAGGTCATAGAACTCTAAATACAGCCTAAAAGAATGATCTTTGTTCGTTCAAATCTTTGATACGTAATACTAATTTGATATTGTTGGTTTCATAAAAACAATTGTATTTTCAGAATTATTGACAAAATATCATGTATTTACTTTAAGGTTTTTATTCAGGTGAAGAGTCACAGGATATAAAAATGATTAACAGGGAAATAACTTGCAGTGATAACTAGCTTTGTCTAATATCTCAGTTTTCATATGTGGTCGAGGTATAATTGTAAAAAATAAATATATTGGGTAAATATAAATGGAATAAACATTTATAAATAAACATCATGTAATTTAAAATCTTAAAATTACGTTATATGAAATTAAGTAGTAGATATTTATAAAATGCATGGGTCATTTCTAACTAAGTTAAAATACTTAAAATGAATTACTGAAAATAATTATAGGTTTGTTCTTGGTTTCTTAAATTTTAAGAACCAGTAAGTAGAAGACAGAGATATGAATAAATAAGTATACATACAGAGATGTATTTTTAGTACAAAAAGTTAAAAAGAGAAGAGAATAATTTTTCAAAAATATAAGAAAAACTACTTTTATTGTTCTAAAGTCATGCATGGTTATTTAGGAAAGAGGAAATATAAGACAAAACTAAAGGTCAAAGCATGTTGTGGAAGGTTCTTAGTAAGTTGTGAAAGATTTTTGAAGCATAAATATATGGAAGAAATTTTGTGCATTATCAAGTTGGCTATAATTAGAAGGGAATTATTTCTGTCTTTCTAAATACTGAGCATTAATATTAAGTATGCACTAATACAAAGCTAACAATTTGTTGCCCTTTGTTAGAATAACAAGGTTGTTTTGAAGTATTGATCTACTCTTACTAAAATTTGAAAGAGGTTTTTATTTAATTTGAAAACCTGTTGATTTAAAATTTCAACCATCTTCTCCATTGTAGCTTATTTCTTTTTTTCTGTTTTATAGTATCCATTTAAATTCCCTAATTCTGACCAGCCGTGTTTGCTCACACTTGTAATCCCAGCATATTGGGAGACTGAGGTGGGTGGAACATTTGAGGTCAGGAGTTTGAGACCAGCCTGGCCAACATGGTGAAACACCACCTCTACTAAAAATACCCCTCAAAAATGAGCTGGGCGAGGTCATGGTCTGTAGTCCTAACTACTCGGGAGACTGAGGCAGGAGAATTGCTTAAACCAGGGAGGTGGAGGTTCCAGTGAGCCAAGATGGTGACACTGCACTCCAGCCTGGGTGACACAGTGAGACTGCATCTTAAAAATAAATAAATAAATTAAATAAATAAATAATAAAATAAAATAATTCCCCTAATTCTAGGTTAAATTATCTTTTTTATGTAGTATGGCAATTCTGTTTCTCAAGGTAGAGGTTTCCTCTTGAAGCTTTTCAGATCTGTATCTTAGAAGTTCAACTTTTGCTGTATCTCACTGCATGTCATTTGCAGTCATATATCATTGCTTTCTGCTTTTTCTCTTTCTCCCCTAGAAAAGGTACATTATATTGCTTGACTAAGTTGATAACTTTCTCTGTTAACTTTTTCATCAGCTCTTGTAACATTTTTCTTCTGGTTCTAATTCTACTGTTATGGCTTGACACTGTATATTCTATCTTGAAGGTTTAGAAAAACAATGTTTTTCTCCAATATAACTCAGTTCTGTACACATAGCTTTCACTGATGTGTCCGAATTGTTTCATGTAACCAGGATATTTTCCATGCTTTCTGTCCGTAGTAAGAGCCATGTATTCCCCTGCTCAAGGCACTAGTAAATTTGTTTACATTCCTCTATAATATGGTGTGCAATCATAAAGTTGAACACACACTTCCTTTTTCTGATTAAATTCAAGTACCTTTTCATCAGGATTAGGTTATCTAAATGAGTTTCCTCTAAGGAGAATCAATCATACTGCAATTAGGTTTTGGTTTGATTTTTAAAAAACCTTTTTTGGCAACTGGCCTGGGAAATACAGATTTTGTAATACCCTGTGCTTCTTGCTGTCTTTATTCAGGTCTTTATTTTATTACTTAAGAAAGCTGAGCTTTGAAAAAGTTAAGATTGTTGTTGTTGTTGTTCATCCATGTAACTTTCTGTATTTACTTCTTATTCTGGTTAAGTGAATGACTATTATTTTACAATAACTTATTTGATCAAGTGTTTCTAAATGTTTGGTATCTTTGCTTGGTTGCCCAGTATCAAAATTTTAAGACCTTTTTTTTAACCTCAAGTTAACTTTGGGATATGTTAAAAGGCCCCAGTACTTCTCAAATGTTTACAAAAAAGAGATATTGAACTATATTGGATTTATCTGAAATATTGAGTTACATGTAAAGACTTGTCAAATGATAAAAGATGCTAGATCTTCTTTGAATTACATTTATGTATACATTATTGATATTAATGTTCCAAAAATGTATAAAATATTTAAAAAATCTAATATGTCATGATAATTTGGGTTATGTGGCGTCACACAAAATTAACCACATTTCCTTGTCAGATTTCAGTTTTTGTTATTTATAGTTATTGTTTTGAATTATCTAAATGATTCTGCCATTAAATTCATGGAAACCTCTATAATAGTACTCTTGAATGCAGATTTCTAAAAACTTTACAACCAATAGACTAAAGAAAAATGTTCTAGAATATTAATGAAGAAATTGATGAACTTGTGAAACTGCAAATCCATATCAACCAAAACAAAAATTAACTACATCAGTGTTGTGGGAAGTCAGGGACCCCTAACAGAGGGACCAGCTGATGCCATGGCAGAAGAACATAAATTGTGAAGATTTCATGGACATTTACTAGTTCCCCAAATTAATACTTTTATAATTTCTTACGCCTGTCTTTACTGCAATCTCTGAACATAAATTGTGAAGATTTCATGGACATTTATCACTTCCCCAATCAATACTCTTGTGATTTCCTATGCCTGTCTTTAATCTCTTAATTCTGTCATCTTCGTAAGCTGAGGATATATGTCGCCTCAGGACCCTATGATGGTTGTGTTAACTGCACAAATTGTTTGTAGAGCATGTGTGTTTGAACAATATGAAATCTGGGCACCTTAAGAACAGGATAACAGCAATTTTCAGGGAACAAGGGAGATAACCTTAAAGTCTGGCTGCCTTAAAGTCTGTCCTGCCTGTGGGCAGGGCAGGACAGAGCCATATTTCTCTTATTACCAAAAATGGGTAAGAGAAATATCGCTGAATTCTTTCCCCAGCAAGGAATATTAATAATTAACAGCCCTGGGAAAAGAATGCAT
Organism: Homo sapiens; assembly: GCF_000001405.40. Classification (NCBI taxonomy): domain Eukaryota; kingdom Metazoa; phylum Chordata; class Mammalia; order Primates; family Hominidae; genus Homo; species Homo sapiens. Next base: position 25,969,169 of record NC_000005.10, read on the forward strand.
TCCCAGGGTGGGGCCTCTAAAATGGCCACCCTGGGAGTGTCTGCATTATGCAGATGTAGATAGGGATGAAACATGCCCTAGTATCTTGCAGCACTCCCAGGTTTGCTAGGATTAGGAAATTCCAGACTGGCGAATTCTAGTCAGACTGGTTCTCTGTTCTTGAACCCTGACAATGTGTGCACAACAGGACAGGGAAGTTCATTAGTGATTCTAGTTTTGCCCTGACCTTCTGCCTTGTGATCTTTTGTCACCCTTGAAGCATGTCATCCCTTTGAAAATTGCTAATAAAAACTTGCTGGTTTTACAGCTCAGGGGGCATCATGGAACCTGCCAACATGTGAGGTCTAGCCCGGACACCCAGCTTTAAAATTTCTCTCTTTTGTACTCTTTCTCTTTATTTCTCGGACCGGCCGACACTTAGGGAAATAGAAAAGAACCTATGTGAAATAACGTTGAATTATCGGGGGCGGATTCCCCTGATGCATCAGATTAAATCACTGCTAAAGATAATGTTTTTGTGACTTTTATTTGAAACATATCTGTTCTTTAATCTTTTGTTTTCCAGATTTAAAGAAACTTTCTCTTTCAAATTATGTGGAGTTTACAGTATATCTTTATGAACAAAAGTGGGAGCATTTACTTGTTCTCCCTACTTGATCCTTGCAAAATGTAGAAACTATTCATGAGTATTCTTATTTTCTATGGCAATATTGTTATTTGCAGAAGTTCAATCACAATATGCTCTCTTTATAACAGGATACAAATGGAAACATTGGTTATATCACCAAGACTTTGATTAGAATGTTATATTTGGGAATATGCATAGACTGCCTAGCTTCAAGGGTTCTGAGCCTCACAGTGAGTGAATAGAAAATTGTGACCTCTTGGAAGTCCCAGGAACCTCAAGATATTAGGTACTGCAGATGAAATTCTAAAATCTTTCTTGATTTGGCTTTTTAGTCTTAAAAAAAGTTTAAATCTGAGATTACAATGTGTTCAAATCACTATTCTTTCAGGCCAAATTTGATAACCCTAAAATTTTACAAACAAATTTGTTTGATTGTCTTAGGTAAATAATGGGCAAGATTATAGAGAGAAAAAGTTGTCTTTCTAAAGAAAAAACTATATCTATTATTAGATTCTAGCTCTGTTCATTGTTTTTGAGGTCTTATTATCTACCTATAGAATGGACTACACCCTGAAGTCTTCTAGATTTCTTCAATCCAACTATGTTTCATGTAATGACTAAGAACAGGGACTGTTCTGGTTCTCAAAGCCCTGTAAGCTGAAACTAAATATATTTTAAGGAACAAGTCTCATGTCTTATGCATGGGTCACACAACTATTTCACCAAACTACCTGATACCATAACCAGAGATATTTAAACTATACACCAGGATGAGAAGTTGATAGCTTCATGCTGTGCACAGCTCTTTCTGTGACATTGGAGCAGGACTCCATATTATAATGAGACTCTTACTTTCCTTAAGGCTACCTTTTTCAATTGTCTGGATAATGGTAGAGTTGAAATTTCACAATTAGTATCTTCTGCTGGTATCCTGACAGAACCTGACCTAAAAGATCCTTTAGACTACCACCTAGAAGGTAACTTTGAAAACACCCATAATACAACTGTCACTTACTATCTGCTCTAATTCAACCCAGTCATGGGATACTAGATTAAAAATTTGCTCAATATTATGATGTAGTTTAGATTTTTGTTTTCTCCAAATCTCATGTTAAAATGTTATCCCCAGTGTGGGAGGTGGGGCCTGGTAGAGGTGTTTTGGTCATGGAGGTGGATCCTTTATAAATGGCTTGCTGCTGTCTTCCTGATTGAGAGGGAATTCTCACAAGATCTGGTTATTTAAAAGTTTGTGGAACCTGCCCCCTCTCTCTCATGCTCCTGGTTTCACAATGTGATGTGCCTGCTCTCACTTCACCTTCTACCTTGAGTAAAAGTTCACTGAGTCCTCCTCAGAAACAAAGCAGATGTCAGAACCATGCTTGTTCAGTCTGCAAAACCGTGAGCCAATTAAACCCGCTTTCTTTATAAATTACCTAGCCTTAGGTATATCTTTACAGAAAAACAAAAATGGCCTGAAAGTTATCTATTAACTAACTAACTAAATAAATATCTGGCCAGACTCGGTGGCTCATGTCTGTAATTCCAGCACTTTTGGAGGCCAATGCTGGAGGATCCCTCTAGCCTAGGAGTTTGAAACCAGCCCTGTCTCTATTATTATTATTTTTTTAAATTAGCTGGGCATAGTGGCATGTCTGTGGTCTCAGCAACTCAGGAGGCTGAACTGGGAGAACTGCTTGATCCCAGGAGGTTGAGGCTGCAGTGAGAGCTGTGATTACACCACTGTATTTTCAGCCTTGGAGTACAGACTTGTCTCAAAAAAAAAAAAAGTCTGTGCTATTGCTAATATTTCATGCTGTACCTAAATAAATTCCTCATGGAAAGTTGAGACCCATATACACAAAATAAGAAAGTAGGGCACATGGTTAAAATAGATGCCACCTAATTGCTTATTCTCATTTGATTTATTGAATTTGTTGCCTTTAAGCGTAGGTTCATAGCTCAAACCCATTAGGCAAAGTGGAACTATGTTCTCATTATCAATTTCACTTCATATTTTTTCTTTTTAATTTTTAATGTTGTAACTGTTATTTGTTAAATGTATGTAAAACTACAACTCCTAACTGAATAATGCTGGCCCAGCATTTTAAGGTAATAGACAAACAAAATTGAAGTTAACACTGAACTTTAGGTAGACTTAGCCTGAGAGCCACTATTTCTGAATCTCCCTTGTAACTCAAATGTGGCAAAAAAGGTTTTGACACAGGCTGCTAGTTGCCAACTGCAACCTCCAGTGTGGGGCTAGAGCAACAACAACCTGGGACAGGTTCATCCCAGTACCAAGGGACATCAAACATAACTACAGAATGACTGATCAGTGGTGCTTTCAGAGAAAGACCCTGACCAAAACTGTGAAATATGAATGTTGTCAGAATAAAAATGGAATCATTAGTGCTAAAAAATGCTGATAAATGAAGCCAGATAAGGCCATGAAGGGAAGGTTCCCATGCACAAATATCTGGTAACAAGAACTATCACAAGAGACGACAACAAATTCAACTTTTCACAAAAGCCACCATAAACTTAACTAAAAATATACTTACGTGAGGACATTTTCCTAGCAACTTTCTGTCCAATCTCAGACTGTTGCCAATTTGTTATTGATCCTTGCAGCCAAAGATAATTATCTCAAGAAAATAATTATCCTCATTTTTCCTTTAAAAACCTTTGTTGTCCTTTGCCTCCCTGTATATGCACAGTTTATTATGGCATGTATATTCCCATTGCAATGTCAATTCCCAAATAAATATCTCCCTGTTTGTTTTATAGGTCGACACATGCATACATATTTGATTCACCATATTGACATATTAAATGGAAAAAACCCAATTACATGAGAAGTTGCTGAATAAGTAATTTGATAAAATTATTTATTTTATAAATACTTATAAAGCAAACAAAACAGCAAAATATGAAAAAGACAGGATAAGCATGCTACTATATGCTACTATATACTAAAATAAAAAAGCATTTATAAAAAATGCTGAAAATGGCCAGGCTTGGTGGCTCATGCCTGTAATCCTAGAACTTTGGGATGCCATGGTGGGTGGATCCCCTGAGGTCAGGAGTTCAAGATCAGCCTGGCCAACATGGTGAAACCACGTCTCTACTCAAAATACAAAAAAATTAGCCGGATGTGGTGCCACACGCCTATAATCTCAGCTACTCGGGAGACTGAGACAGGAGAATCACTTGAAACCAGGAGGCGGAGGCTGCAGTGAGTCAAGATGGCGCCATTGCACTCCAGCCTGAGCAAGACAGAGCGAGACACCCTCTCAAAACAAAATAAAAAAAAAATGGTGAAAATGTCAAAGATATCACTATTACTAAATCAATTCATTTTATTACCTACTTTAGTCAGTGAAACAGGAAGCCGAAAATTCCCCAAACGGGTCTTCCTTTTCAGTTTTTACTGCGTACAGTCAAGTCTCCAACAACAGTTAGAGAAATTATTTTGTTACTTCCCTGTGGAAACCAATCCAGTTTTGTTCTCAATTTTCTTAGAGAAAGACCCAAACATGCTACAATGGCTACAAGTAATTACATGTTCTGGCTCTCTTTTTCTCCTGGATATATTTACTCTCTATTCCAACTACACTGACCCTGTGGCTTAAGGCACATGCCCATTTTAAGATATTTGCAGTGGAGTTGCTTTGGCCTGGACACAGAACCACTAAAGTGGCACTTCACCGGGTGCGGTGGCTCACGCCTGTAATCCTAGCACTTTGGGAGGCCGAGGCAGGTAGATCACGAGGTCAAGAGTTCGAGACCAGCCTGAACAACAAGGTGAAACCCCTTCTTTGCTAAAAATACAAAAATTAGCCGGGCATGGTGGCGTGTGTCTGTAATCCCACCTACTTGGGAGGCTGAGGCCGAAGAATCGCTTGAACCCGGGAGGCAGAGGTTTCAGTGAGCTGAGATCACATCACTGCACTTCAGCCTGGGCAACAGAGTGAGACTCCATCTCAAAAAAAAAAATGCACCTCTACTCATTTCAGTAATTGCTAGGTATCAATCTGCAGTGAGGTCTACCCCTGCAGCCCTTGTAATTTGTAACTCCCTCTCCATCATCTCCCACACTCTGATAACCCTCCACCTCACTTTACTTATGTTTTCCCCAAAGTACTTATTACATAACATTCTAAGTAATTTACCTAGTTATTATGTGTATTGCTAAGGTGACCATTCAATGTGTTAACTGAACCCGTAAAATTTGAGGAATGAAAGAGGTTGCTATGCACAGTATCTCATGACAAGAGGCATACATTGGAGTTATCACAGGCAAGCAGGGCTATGGTTATTCATTCTATGGCTTATACTTTTTTCCAATGACATAGGTTCCATGAAGGCAAAGATCTGTTTAATGATGTAATTCAGGTGGCTAGAATAGTACCTGATAAAATAATATTTGTCCAGTAAAGAAATAGCTGATAATCTTTTTATAGCCATAAAAAATCCTCTTTCTTCCCCCCAAATACTTTGTGATTATAAAACTAATCAGATATTCTTGATCAGTTAACTAGGTAGCAGATGGAATTCCTAAAAATTCTATTCATGTAACATGAATTCCCTGTTGTTCAGCAAGCAAGAATTATTTCTAAGGTGTACATGTACATTAAGATGGCTTTGTATAGGATTCTCTTGAATGTAAAGTTTTATATTTTGACACAATGCCAGAGGTGTTTTTGTTTTTTTCAAATGTAATATATTTTCTTCAAATATTAAAGTTTGTTTCCCTCTCTTTTGAAAATTAGGTGGAATTTTGCAAAATGAAATGAAGCAGGTGTCAGCAACTAGAACACACACAGGCTGGCAGGGCTGGCAGATGCAAAACAATTAGACCAACAAAAGCATTTGGAGCCTTTACATTCTTGCCAGTCTGATGCCTTAGCACAATCTGCAAAGTGCTGTGAGGATTGTCCTTATGTTTATTCATCGAATAAGAAATATTTGCAAATTTCCTTTTCCCCTTTGGATATAAAGTTCTGTAAAATATGATAAAGTAAAAGGAACATTTGAATGGCAGAATCTGCATATCTATTTTCGTTACAGGCAATAGGAGTATTTGTGATTTTTTATCATTCAAGCACTGTACAAACATATATTTTAAAATTTACTAATAGATATTTTGCAAGAAAATAGCCAATAGAAAACTTGAGTAATTAGTTTTATTTCTAAACGTAATTATTTAAAATAACTATTATTTTAATGACTTAAATCTGACTTCAGAACCATGGCAGAAAAAATTCAACACAATTTTATAACATTCACATAGCTAAATTGAACCACCATTGGATATTAATTTTTTAAATAATAAACATTGGTTCTTTAAAATAGAATTTTTTGTAGTGAACTTCCCTTTTAAGAAACCAGGTTAGTTATTGTATGAATAATTTTGGCAATATACGTTTCTTTCCAGTTACTGTGCAAATGTAGGCTGTTTAGGACACATGAGATTGTAATTGTACCTGCAGATTATATTCATCTATCTTCTGTCTGAAATTCTGATTCTGGTTGCCTGAAGCTCATGAAACAAATTCTGTTATTACCTCCATTCTAGATTAGACAATAAATACACACATCCATATATGTTATACATTGCATACCATGTCTTGTTTATATATAAATATATCAAATATGCACAGATATCAAGATATACACACGCAACACACAGATGAACACATACTAGATATATAAATTTCAATTGCCAATGTTGGTTTAAAAATGAGCAGTCAACTACAGTAAATCTTCTTCATCACTATTTAGAATAAGGGCCACGTGATGCTTCTTCTAGATGTATAAAGGCAGCTAGTACAATCCTAACAATATTGCTCCACAGTTGCACGCATGAGTCTGAGAATCCACTCACAAGAGGACATTTCTAAATTAATTTGTTAGCTGACAGTCTGAACTAAAATAGTTGCTAACATTGTTACTGGAAAGTAGTTGAAGTCACTCAGGAATCACATGTACAAAAAACTGAAGACTTTTTTTTTTTGTAGACAGATAACACAAACATTTCTGGACATGCTATCCTCATGTCACCCTCAGATGTTAAAAGGAGATTGCACACTTGTCTAGTGATATCTATGTCTTTGTAAACTCATAGAAAATCACCCTGCACAGATTTATATTCACCACAACTTTGTCCCAAATAATGAAAAACCAGTCACAAGCAAACAAAAAGTTTTAAGTAAAACTGGAATTGTAACATCCATGCCACCAGATAAGTCAGTTGAGTGTAATACAGGAAGGCTTTGTTTTGTTGCCAGGCAGATTAGAGATTAAATCTTGGTATCGCTAGGGGCTAGCTAGGTCAGCTTACTTATCCTCTCTAAGCCTTGGTGCTGCTGCCTCTAAAATTGGAATAATTCATAGTTTATCTGCATGTGCTGAATATTAAATGATATAAAGTATTTAAAGTTGTTCTCAGCTTATCCCACACTCAGTGTATGCCGTATGTTACCATGATCTTCTAAGGTTAAATATTATGATTTTGTCTTTTATATTTAAGTGATCTGAATTTTATTTTATTTGAAATATTCTAGAAGTATTTTAATCTTTGTTTGGGTGGTTACTGGAAAAATCACATATATAAGACATAAGTCACTAAACTTTTCCCCCTTAGTGTCATTAATAATACAAACAAAGAGGGGTGGAATGCAGCTAGGATTTTAATATTAGTGATACTTTTTGCAAATCATTGTGTTTACAACTACTGCTACGAGCACTTAATTTTCCCCAGTCAATTTAGCCTCATCTGAATAGTCACTTTTTTCTGTTCTTCACAGATATACATTTACCATCAAGCACTTTGTTAGTTACTGTTATAAGCCATTAATATCACTAAAATAAAAAGAGATGAGAAAATACACTTAGTGGATGACATCCATTGTTTTATCTAATGATAACATTCACCTAATCTTAGTTTTCTTATTTATTTCAAGCATATTTTAAACACTTTCAAGTGCACGCATTTTTAGTTGTGTCCTAAGGTAATTTTGTTAAGACCCTGACTACTCTCTTTGATATATGACAAATATCTACTTACAGGGATGGCAAGTTTTCATCTATTTCTTAAAATTCACTTATCAGGCAATTTTCAAACTTTTCTAAAAGGAAGCTCCAAGCAATTAATTAATTTTCTTGTTTGATTATACTTTTCATTGCATTGCTCCCAGCTAAGAATTTTCTCTTTGGAGTTGCAAAAACAATTTGGCCATATTCATTCACAATTTGCATTATCGGCTTCAAAATATTCCTCTGAGTGATATTTCCATTTAGTTAATGCTCAGGATTTTCTCTCATAAGAAACAGCAGAATGCAGACTCTTTTGAAACTTCAGAGAAATAAAATTGATATTTTAAGTAAGCAGCCACATAAATTCCACTCTTTTTACTTCGGTTAATGAATAAATTGCAGTTGCGATAGTCTACTTGGAAGCAGGAGTATATTCTTTCAACTCCTACTTCTAGTTACTATGAATTTTTTCCTATTTTTCCTGATTACAATATCATGCATTAACTATCCTTTAATGTCTGATTCTTATCCTACTTTTTAAAAATAAAATTTTAATGTATTGCTTTCTAAATGGAAAAAATATCTGAAAATGAAAAAATTCATTAAGATACATACGTATAAATATATTTGCTTCATTATGGAACTCACTGAAAGGGTATTTTAAATAGAATGTATTTCCTTTATTTGTAATAAGTACGTTGGACACTCACCAAATCACCAAGTATGATGAGATAGGGTTATGCTGTAAACTTTGAGAACACATTTTTAAAATACTTCCAAATTTCTCTACTCTAGGTGACCAGCACTGATTCTGTCTTGTTCTAGTTTCAGTAGAATAAAGTTCTTACACCACAGTGCTCATGATTTCATGTTAAAGATAAGACTTTTGAAAAGTATTATTCAATGGCTATATAATTATTTGGGGATTGCCAAAGAGGCTTAAGATTGACCAACATGGGAATCTCGATTGATTGACTAGTTTTCTTGTGGCAAAATCTTTAAGGAACAACATATTCAAAATATTTGTTTGCTTTGTTTAAACTGTTAGGAGATAAGCAGTCACATACTCATGTGTTGCCAGTAAAGCTATGCTCTAGCACACAGGCCAGTGGTATTATATCTTATATAGACAGTCTAACTAAAGTGGAGATGGGAATCATAGAAATAGTTGTCTTCTTTGAAGTCTAATGATATTAAATAGACTTTTATAATTATAACTGATAAATTACAAATATTCCAACATATTTAAATAGAATTATTACACTGATTATCACCTAGCATCTGCAATCCATTGAAATTGTGAAACAGTTATGATAAAGATATTCCAAAGCATAACATCCTCAAACTTAACCTAGTTAACAAAAAAGTACAATTTTTCAACATTTCTTGGTTCTGTAGATATAAGTTTTATCTCAAGAATTACACCATCACTTTATCTTTTCATAATGGACATGACTTCTTTATGAAATTCATTTAGCAGTAGAAAGAAGAGTCCATGGAGACTCATTCTCCCTTACTCTTATGTCTGTAACGGATGTTTTGTATGATTCCAAAAATTAATGTCCGCTATATATACTTGACAAAGATGAAATGTAAAAGTTAGGGAAAAAAGGAATAATTTTAGGTGCTTTGTCTTACAAAGGCATATAATCACCAAGTCTTACACAATAATTAAGCATATAAAGAATGCCATACTAATTTGAGTCTTTATTCATTTATTACAAAATATTTAGAGCAGACCTACTATGTTATTGTTTCTCTGATAAGCATATGAGAAGATAAAATGGACACATCTCTTTTTTCAAGAAACATACTTTATTCATGTTTTAAACTGAGATTGCAAATGGAAATAGTAATTGTGTTTGGATCATAGATACTAAGAGTTTACACCCAATCATTGATATTTTAGACTCAGAACTATGTCACTTTCAATATATTTAGGATGTCATAGCAACATTTAATTTAAATATCTACCCAATTCAAGTATCCCTACTGCCTAAAGTTTGCAAACTGGCAAATCATCTGCTCTATACTGCCTAAGTTGAAAGTGTGTTTGGATATAAAAATATTGGTCCACAGGAAATATCTGGGTTTGTGTGTGTGTGTGTGTGTGTGTGTGGTAATTAAATTTGTTTTCAAATACGTGTTATCACATAACTTTTCAGAATTTTAAATTGTGGTTGGCATGTAATAGTTGTGCATATTTAGAGTACAAAAATACATTATGATACAGATACACATTGTGTATGATCAAGTCAGGATGATTAGCATATCTATAAGCTTAAATATTCATGATTTCTTTGTGATGGAAATATTCAAAAATCTGTTTTCTAGCTATTCAGAAATATACAATATATTATTGTTATCTCTATCCATTCTATATGGAATAGAACATTAGCACTTATTTCTCCTAGTTATAACTTTGGACCCTTTGACCCATCTCATTACTCATTATTTGTTTGTTCAGTGTTTCTCTTTGTTTATGAATCAATGTTGGCAACTTGCATGTGTCTGAAAATGTATCCACTTCTTCTAAGTTTTCCAATGTGTCGATGTATAGTTGTTCATATGTCTCTGATGATCTTTTGGATTTCTGTGGTGTCAGTTGTAATATCTCCTATTTTTGTCTGTTTCTATTTGTATTCTCTCTTTTTTTCTTAGTCTTAAAAGTAATATTGTTTATTCTTTCAAAACACCAAGTCTTTGTTTTACTGATTCCTTGCATTGGATTTTAGTCTCAATTTTATTTACTTCTGTTATGATCTTTATTATTTCTTCTACTAGTTTTGGGTTGGTTTGTGTCATCTCTAATTTCTTTAAGCAGTAGTGTGTCATTCTCATTGAAGAGATCTTTACTAAAGAATTTCTAAAGAAAGAGGTTCTTATTTTTCTATTTGTTTGTGTCATCTCTAATTTCTTTGACTAGTAGTGTGTTGTTCTCCTTGAAGAGATTTTTTCACTTCCCTAGTTAGCTGTGTTCCTAGTATTTTATTCTTTTTGTGTAGCTTGTGAATGAGAGTTCATTTGTGCTTTTCAGCTTCACTGTTGGTGTATAGGTATGGTAGCAATTTTTGCAAATTGATTTTGTATCCTGAGACTTTGTAACAGCCCAAACTTTACCTTGGCCCCTTTTAGTCATGGCTGGAGTGAATGGGACTCAGGGAACCAAGTCTCTAGATTTCACACAGCAGAAGGACCCTGGGCTCAGCCTATGAAACCATTTTTTCCTCCTAAACCTCCAGGTCTGTGATGAGATGGGCTTCTGCAAAGGTCTCTGACATGACATGGAGACATTTTTCCCATTGTCCTATGCCAGGCTTTTATGCTCTGTTTCCGTTTTAAAACTGAATGCCTTTAACAGCACCTGAGTCTCCCTTTGAATGCTTTGTTGCTTAGAAATTTTTTTCAGCCAGGTACCCTAAATCATCTCTCTCAAGTTCAAAGTTCCACAAATCTCTAGGGCAGGGGCAAAATGCCACCAGTCTCTTTGCTAAAACATAGCAAGTGTCACCTTTACTACAGTTCCCAAGTTCCTCATCTCCTTCTGAGACTACCTCTGCCTGAATTTCATTGTCCATATCATTATCAGCATTTTGGTCAAAGCCATTCAAGAAGTCTCTAGGGAGTTCCAAACTTTATCACAATTTCCTGTCTTCTTCTGAGCCCTCCAAACTGTTCTAATCTCTGTCTGTTTCCAAATTCCCAAGTTGCTTCCATATTTTTGGGTATCTTTTCAGCAGTGCCCCACTATACTGGTACCAATTTACTGTATTTGTTTGTTTTCATGCTGCTGATAAAGACATACCCAAGACTGGACAATTTACTAAAGAAAGAGGTTTAATGGACTTATGGTTCCACACAGCTGGGGAGGCCTTACGATCATGGTGGAAGGTAAAGGGCACGTCTCACATGGAGGCAAACAAGAGAATAGAACTTGTTCAGGGAATCTTCCCTTTTTAAAACCATCAGATCTCTTGAGACTTATTTACTATCACAAGAATGGCACAGGAAATACCTGCCCCAGTGATTCAGTTACCTCCCACTGGGTCCCTGCCACAACATGAGAGAATTCAAGATGAGATTTGGGTAGGGACATGACCAACCATATCAATTATCCATGTTCATCCCTTTGTAACTCTCTTTTTTTCTTCTAAACAAAAACAAAAACAACAACAAAAAAACAGTATACATGAGCAGAACGTGAAGGCTTGTTACATAGGTATATGTATGCCATGGTGGTTTGGTGCACCTATCATCCTCAGCAAACTAACACAGGAACAGACAATTAAACACCGCATGTTCTCACTTAAAAGAGGCAGTTGAACATTGAGAACACATGGACACAGAGAGGGGACTAGCACATACCAGGGCCTGTTGAGGGGTGGAAGTGAGGGGAGGGAACCTTTGTAACACTCTTACACAGCTAAATAATGGCCACCTATTAACTACATCACAGAATTTAATAGTTTGCTACTGACCACCCCTTCTCATGGTTTTTGACATTCGGGCCCAGTGTCTACAACCATTAATTACCATACTTTTTTTGTGTTTTCTTCATGGAAAAATAAAAAAGAAAGAAACGATTTTACTGTATCCATGACTCCGTGAAAACTGAACAATGTAAAAAGATTGATCTTCTTCACAATTCTTGAAAACGTGAATCTTACATCTGGCTTGATTCATTCATTTGTATTATATACTAACCTCTGTAGACGTTTGAGCATTTTTTCTCTGTTCTACAACATTCCCAAAGGTGATTATACAATAATTGTTTTATTACCTCCTGCGTTGGAAATCTTTCTTGTCAGGCAGCCATGCCATCAAGGAACAGCTGCGACTGTTAAAGTTATCTTACTCTTTTCATTTTAAATATTTTCTTATTATCTTAGAAACCTGATTTCTGTGACTTACATTTAAGAATGATCTGCTTGTTGCAGCAAAAAGGTTGAAGAGCATGTTCATGATAACAAACACATGATCAAAATGATTTCTCTCTCAGTCTAATCATATGTGTGCACTAGAGTAATACATCATCATAGAATGTAAACTAAACTAAACCTTCAGAAAGATATCTAAATATCTCCCTGTCACCTCCATTCACATTCATGACGTGTACTTCCAATAGATTAGAAAAGCGTGGCCTTCACTTACAAAATAAAAATATTTAGATCTACATAAACCATGAGTTTAAAAATGGTAGAAATATGCTTTATTAAGTGTCAATGGAACACATTAGAAAACATTATAAAGGCTAATAAAATACAATTAATTATATTTACATATAAAATTATGTTTAGGCATAAGTATCTTAAGGTTAAATATCTATCCTCATGTTTTACCTATTTTTAATTAGTTTGGTTAGCATCTAATCATTGAATTAAGATTTTTTTATATGTTCTGAATACAATTCTTCTATTGCTATATGATGTGTAAATACTTTCTCCCAATCTGTAGCTTATTTTTTAGTTTTAATAATGATGTCTTTTAAAGTGGAGAGAGTTTTTAGCTTTGATAAGGTAAATTGATATTTTTTTCTTTTAAAGATCATATTTCGGTGGTTTATCTAAGAAATCTTTGCCTAACCCATAGTCATGAACATTTTCTCATATGTATTCTTTTAGAGATTTTATAGTTTTTGTTCTTATATTTAGATTTCTGAATCATTTTGAGTTAATTTTATGTATGGAACAAATTGTCTAAATTATTTCTTTTGCACATGCATACCTAATTGTCCCAGCAACAGTTTGGAAATATTGTCCTTCCCTTATTTGTATTCACACCTGTGATTAATTAATATGACTATAAATGTAAAGGTTATCTTTGAATGCTCAATTTTGTTTGATTTATCTCTATACCTGTTCTTGCTCCAGAGCTACACTATTTTGATCACTGTGACTTTATAAGTTATTTTCAAGTCTATACAAATTTTAAGTTCAACTTGTCAACACCTACAATCATATCTGTTGGAATTTTGACAAGGAATGTGTTGAATTTATAACCAATTTGTTGAGAATTGCTCTCTTGACAATATAGATACTTTCATCCCATGCATATGAAATATAAGTTTTCTACTTATTTCGATTTTCTATAATTCCTCTCAACAATGTTTCATAGTCTTCAAGGTGTACGTTTTGCACTTATTTTGTTAAATTACTATTTTGATGTTAGTATAAATACATTTGAAAATTTTATCTTCTCACTTAAAAGATTGAAAATTGAAAAGCAACCAGAGAGGAAGAATACCAATGTGTTTACAACATTCTGAGTTCAATATCTACGCCATATTTTTTAATTAAAATAGATCAATTTTTAATAGTTGATGTAAGCTAGAACAGTAAACCATTAATACGCATTTAAGTATTCAGTATAGATATCCTTCTGTTCGATGTCATCAATGATTCATTATGCATTTCTTCTCCTCTGAGAGTTAAATAAGAATACCAAGTTACAAAATTGTAAATAAGTATGAATTATCAATAGTTGCTCAGTAAGTAGAACACACAAAATGGAACACCACACTTGTTATTTAATAATACTATGTGATAACTTATTGTGCTAATTGTAATGTGCTTTTTAATATCTTATATTTTCTAAAATTATATGAAAGATATAATACATAGAAAAGTAACATTTAGACAAATTTAACCTTTTGAATGTATTGTTTTATTTGTATACTTTTTTAAAACCTCAGTATAAGGTGAATCAATTTTGGTTTCATTTTTCTGATGTGAAAATATCCTATGTTATTTACTGGTTATAATTCTAATCTCCTTTGTGTGCATTATTTATTTTGATTATTTACTTTATTATGATTGATTTGCAAAAATTAATATTTGTTTTAACAATGTGCATAATTATATTTCATAAAAGTTTTATTGTTAAAATTACATATCTAAGAAAGTTGATTATCTAGTCTGAAAAAGCAGGAGTATGTCAAGTTGTTAAATTAAAATTTAAAATGAGTAATATATTATTTTATATGGATAATTAGGCCCTTTGGGACATTTACTCAAAAGTAGGTCATAATTTTATTATACTGTACATTCTGATATATATATATACACACACACATATACACACATTTAAGCATAAATATAAAATAGTTCATATTCCTCTACTAATTATGCTTTTAAAAATTATTTACATTAAATTCTCATTAGAAATTATAAAACGACACTAGGATTTTTTGGCTCTTCTGTTCTTAGCCCATGTTTCTCAAGCCAAATATATTTAGAGTATATATGTTTTATTTTTATAACAAACTCTGAATGATCAATAACTATGAGCTAATAATTGTAATTAACATGAATATAAGTTGATTTTGACAAGCATTAATGTCCAATGTTATTCATATTATCCCTTAATGTCAGTTAAAGCAATTAACTAAAAGTTAAACTGTATTTATTTGCTTGCCATGGCATAAACGGAGAAGCAAAAACACCGCTTAGATCATCTCATTCAAGAAAGCCTCTGTCCACCTGAAAAGTGCATATTGGCTCAAAGTCTCCAGTGCTCAGAACTTTGAGAATCTTCCTATGCCTTCCAGCAGCATCCATGCAGGTATCAAGGAGGCCCCCAGCCAATGGCTGACCAAGATGATATTAAAAGGATTTGCCTATTTCCACTCCAAACAGGAGCTGCTTTAAGGAACAATATTTGCTCTGAAGACTGTCCATTGGACTGGCTCAGAATTTTTGGGGCCAGGGTCATGGTCTCATTGTTGGCGTTGCCCAATTCTACCTATTTTTCTTTCATTTTTTTCACAAGTGTTACTACCCAATATAATTTTGCAATTGTGTTTTTCCTCAGACTTTTTGGAGTATAATCGACAAATAAAAATTGTGTATACTCAGGGTCTATAGTGTGATGAGGTGATATCTACATACATTGTAGTGATGTGTAATGATTACCACAATCAAATTGACCAACTCATCTGTCATCAAACGTAGATATCTTGCCTGTGTGTGTGCATTTATGTGTGTATGGTGAGGATACTTAAGATCTTCACTGTTAGCAAATTTCAAGTAAAGAATGCAGTATTATTAACTAAGTAACCACACACTACATTAGATCTCCTGTACTTATTCATCTTATAACTCAAAGTTTGTAACCTTTGATCATCTCCCCATTTCTTCCAAACCCGAACTCCTGGTAACCATCAATCCACTCTCTGATTCTGTGATTTAGACTATTAAACTCCATATATTAGAGACATAATACAGTATTTGTCTTTCTGTGGCTGGCTTATTTCACTTAGCGTAATGTTCTTTACATTCATACAGGCAGGATTTTCTTTTTTTTTTTTTTAATGGGTGAAGAATGTTTCATTTCACACACACACACACAAACACACACACAATGACATATCATATATATATAGTGTGTTTGCACATAAATATACACAATTTTATTTATATATTATATATATTTTTTATCCATTCATCTGTTGCGGACACACAGGTTTCTGTATCTTGACTATTGGGAATAATGCTACAATGAATATGGGGTGCAGATATCTCTTTGAGATACTAATTTTATTTCTTTTGGATATATACCTAGAAGTGGGATTCCCAAATCATATAGTAGCTCCATTTTTAGAACTACTAAATTCTCATGCTAGTTTAATCTTTTGAGGAACTTGCAAACTGTTTTCCATAATGGCTGTTCCAATTTACGTTCCCACCAACAAAGTATGAAGCTTCTCTTTCCTCCACATCCTTGCCAACACTTGTGAGCTCTTCTTGTTTATTACAGCCATCCTAACAATTGTGAGGTAATATCTCATTGTAGTTTTGTTACATTTCTCTGATAATGAGTAATATTGAGTACCTTTTTGTATACCTGTTGGTCACATGTATGTCTTCTTAAAGAAAATGTCTCTTCAATTTCTTTGCCCATTTTTATTGGTTTGTTTCAGTTTTGTCATTGTTTGTTTTTCTCTTGAGTTGCATGAGTTCCTCATATATTCTGAGTATTAACTCATAATCAGATTTATGGTTTCCAAATATTTTCCCCCATCCCACAGGCTATCATTTTATTTTGTTGGTTGTTTCTTTTGCTCTGCAGAAGATTTTTATCTGATATAGTTCCATTTTTCTACTTTTGCTTTTGTTGCCTATGCTTTTGATGTGATATCCAAAAAATCACTGTCAAGAACAAAATTAAGGAGCTTTTCTTTCCTACTTTTTATTTGGGGGTTTTATGATTTTAGATCTTATATTTAAGTCTTTAATCCATTTTGAGGTGATTTTTGTATATGCAGTTGGACAAATGTCCAATTTTATATTTTTGCATATGGACATCAGTTTTTGCCAATATAATTTATTAAAGAGACTATCCTTTCCCCTAATATATTCTTGGTGTCATTGTCAAAGACTGGTTGACTCTATATGCATGAGTTTATTTCTGTATTCTCAATTATGTTCCACATGGTTCTATGTCTGTTTTTATGCTAGAACTGACTGTTTTGATTACTATAACTTTGAAATATCATTTGGCATTAGAAAGTGTGGTGCTTCTACCTTTGTTCCTATTTCTCAAGATTTATTTGGATGTTTGAGTTTTTTTTTTATTCCATGTGAATTTTAGAATTTTTTTTTTCTATTTCTGTAAAAAATCTTTTTGGAATTTAATAAAGATGCATTCAACCCATGAACATGAGATTGTTCCATTTATTTGTGTCTTATTCAATTTTGAACCCTGGAGACTTCACCAAAATTATTAGAACTAACATAGAAATGCAGTAAAGTAGCAGGATATAATATTAACTCAGAAATTTTTTTGGTTCTATACACTAACAAAAAAATCTGGAGAAGAAAGAAAAAAGTCAATTCTATATACAATAGCATAAAAATGGTAAAATATTTAGTAATAAATATAACCAAGGTGGTGAAAGATCTATACACTGAAGACAGTGAGACACTGGTAAAATAAATTGATGATACATTGGCTATTCTAATTCCATCTCAGTGCCTGCCTTCTGGAAAACCGAACTTTCATTATTTGAATCAGAAGAAAATCAGAAGGAAAATAATGATAGAAGGTTTTCAGGAAGCAATTTCCATCTGACGTTTCCTAGAACAGATGACAAAGGAGTGCAAACAGGGGAGATTATCAGGGGGCTAAACAACAAACAGGAAATATACTACCTTCAGTGCTCTTCTGGCTGGGGCATATGACACTTTGAGGCTTAAACTGACGCTTTGCCACTCAAGAACAATACAAACAATTGTAAATGAGAACCCAATGAGTAAGGATTTCAGAGATAGCATTAGCTTAAATTTCATTCGCAGCCACACGTAAAGACACAGAAAATAAATAATCTGAAATCTTAAGTAGGGTAGTAAAATCACCTTTATCTTTTTACTTTTTATACTTTAGACCTAAATTGATAGAAGGTTTTGCCAGTTTTAATTATGTAACAATAATAATTTTTATTCATTTTAACATGCAACATAATTAATCTTAAAATATCATATTCATCATTTACCATAGTCTAGAAGGCTTTCCTCAGTAAATAACACATCAGAACTTCAGGAGAAATCTTTTTTCAACCCACTTGCATCTCCTTTGTAGTTCTGAGAAGCTCTGAAATGAAACACCCTCTACCCAAAAACAATAAGAATTATTTGTGGAAAAAAGATCTGTTGCTCATGTATAAAACAACTGTCTAAAAATGGATGGGGGGAGCAAAACAGCCATTATTACATGATTATTCTAGGAAATACAAAAACCAAAAGAAACAAATATAGTTCATGTTGAGTTGTAGGAACTAAAAGTAATAGTAGTACTGATAAGATAGCAGTACTGATAAGATAGCAGTACTGATAAAAAAGAAATGAGATGCATTAAAAACATATGAATAAATGTGGAATTAACTGAGTGGGCTTAATGTTCTCAATATGTGAAATAGTGCTATACACAATGTGGTTACCATAGAATTTCCTTGATATATTGTGGCAGCAATTTAATAAATGGCTAGTAGTAAGATATCCAGTAAAGTTAAAATAAAAACAGAATAACACAACAAAGGAGTAAGCCTGGAAATATTTTAAAATACGAGATAAAGTCAGAAAAAGAGTCAAGTTTATCTTACTTCATAAAGTTATTTTTAAAGCTCACTACTAATATTTAACCATAGAGGATGCATTTTAGGCTATGCTTTATGTTAAGTACCTTTATATACATTATTTCAGTAGCCTTATAATTTAGTCACTATTTTTATTCCATTTTGTATATAAGTTCACGATGGCAAAAAGACATTAAATCAATTAACCTTTAGTCATATGGCTTCTAAACTAAATGCAAAATTCCAACCTACACAGTAATTCTCCAGGAATAGTATTTATAGACATTGGTATTTAAATGAATAAAACAGGTATATCTACAAGAAAATATAGTATTACTTAATCTACTATAAGCTGTCTCATATGTATTAATCTACATGTATTATATGATTTACAAAGGTAAATAAAAGGACAAGCCGGGCTGGGAGAAAATTGAGAATTTGGTAAATAACTTGTGTTGAAAATGTGAAAAAACTCTCAAATTTGTCAATGCAAACACACACACAAAAAAGCATTAAAAATGTGAGCCAAAGTTTGAGCAGATACTTCACCAAAGAAGAAAGATGAAAGCAAGTAAGTACATGAAAGGTACATAAAATTCTTAGTGATTAGGGAGGTGTAACTTAAAACCACAAGTAATACAGGCAAACCTTATTTTAATGCACTTTACTTTATCTTGCTTTGCAGATATTACATTTTTTCCAAATTGAAGATTTCTGACAACCCTGTATTGAGCAAGTCTATTTGCATCATTTTTACAATAGCATGTGCTCACTTTGTGTTTTCTGTGTCACATTTTGGTAATTTTAATAATATTTCAAATGTTTTCATTATTGCTATATTTGTTATGGTGATCTGTGATCAGTAGTCTTTGATGTTACTGTTGTAATTATTTTGTGGTCCCATAACTACAGCCATATAAGACACCAAACATAACCAACACAGAGCTATGATGGAGTTGTACAAGGACATTTATCTTCTTTTCCTTTTTTTTTTTTTTTTTGAGACAGTCTCGCTCTGTCACCTGGCTGGAGTGCAGTGGCGCGATCTCAGCTCACTGCAACCTCCACCCCCTGAGTTCAAGCGATTATTCTGCCTCAGACTCCCAAGTAGCTGAGATTACAGGTGCCTGCCATCATACCTGGCTAATTTTTGTATTTTTAGTAGAGGCGGGGTTTCACCATGTTGGCCAGGCTGGTCTCAAACTCCCGACCTAAAATGATCCACCCACCTCAGACTCCCAAACTGCTGGGATTACAGGCATGAGCCCAGCTGATTAATCTTATTTTCATGCCTGCTAACACAACGTCCATTGTGAAGCCCATGAATCAAGGAGTAATTTTGTTTTAAATTCTTATTATTTAATAAATACATTTTCCAAGGCTATGGCTACCAGAGAATACTGATTCTTCTGAAGGATCTGGGCCATGTCCTTTGAAATATTTTGGGAAAGGGTTCAACATTCTTGATGTCAGTAAGGATATTTGTGACTCATTGGACAAGGTCAAATTATCAACACTAACAGTAGTTTTGAAGAAGTTGTTTCCAGTCCTCATGGATTCCTTTGAGGTATTCAAGACTTCCGTGTAGGAAGCAGCTGCAGGTGTGGTGAACATAAAAAGAGAATTAAAATTAGAAGAGGAGCCTGAAGATAGGACCGAACTGCTGTCATCTCATGATTAAATTTGAATAGATAAAGAGTTGCTTTTGATAGGTAAGCCAAGAAAGTGTTTTTGAGATGATGTTTGCTTCTGATGAAGATGCTGTGTCTCTCTGACCTTCAGCAACCACCACTCTGATCATTCAGCAGCTGTCACACTGAGGAAAGACTCTCCACCAACAAAAAGATTACAACTTGCTGAAGACTCAAATGATTGCTGTCATTTTCTAGTAGTAAAGTATTTTTAATTAAGGTATGTGCATTGGTTGTTTTAGACGTAATATTATTGCACACTTAATAAAATACAATGCAATGTAAATGGCTTTTTTTGTTTTGTTTTTTGTTTTTTATTTTTTATTTTATTTTATTTCATTATACTTTAAGTTCTAGGGTACATGTGCACAACGTGCAGTTTTGTTATGTATGTATACATGTGCCATGTTGGTGTGCTGCACTCATTAACTTGTCATTAGCATTAGGTATATCTCCTAATGCTCTCCCTTCCCACATCCCCACCCCACCACAGGCCCCAGTGTGTGATGTTCCCCTTTCTGTGTCCAAGTGTTCTCATTGTTCAATTCCCACCTGTAAGTGAGAACATGCGGTGTTTGGTTTCTTGTCCTTGCGATAGTTTGCTCATAATGATTGTTTCCAGCTTCATCTACGTCCCTACAAAGGACATGAACTCATCCTTTTTTATGGCTGCATAGAATTCCATGGTGTATATGTGCCACATTTTTTTTAATCCAGTCTATCATTGATGGACATCTGGGTTGGTTCAAAGTCTTTGTTATTGCTCAAGGATCTAGAACTAGAAATACCATTTGACCCAGCCATCCCATTACGGGGTATATACCCAAAGGATTATAAATCATGCTGCTATAAAGACACGTGCACACATATGTAAACAGCTTTTTATGTGTACTGGGAAACCAAAAAAAAACTTGTGTGCCTTGCTGTATTGTCATTTTCATTTTATTGTGGTGGTTTGGAATCGAACCCTCAATATATACGAATAATGCCTGCAACTGTATTCTGACTTTATTTTTTTCACCTTTATATTCCTGTATAATATCCTTGATATTCCCATATAATGTCAGTAATAATAATAATTATGCATAATAAATCTGACATAACTGTAATATTTGGGTTGTTTTTTTTCAAAACAGTATAATGTCACAACAATCACAGATACAGAAAACTCTGCCAAATTTTATTAATAAGGATTTTTTAAAAAGTAAATGAAAGTAACAAATAAGAAAAGTGGCTATCAGTCTACTCATTTTTATGGCAGAAAATGGTCTCAAACTGTTGACATTTCAATATCTCAGATTCCAAGTGATTCTGGAAGCTCCAAACCAAAACACTGCATTATTTACATTCATAGTTTGCTTGCTTTTGAGGAAAATGACATCTGTGCAATTTTTTCATTCCAAAACACATTAATTTGTACATAGGCTGAATTTAGAGCTGGAAAATCTAATGCGGAATACTACTCCTATACTGTCAAGTCAAATGAAACATACTAAAATTAAAAATATGAATTTTCTAGTAGACATAATCTACATGAATGAGGACAGATCAATGCTTTATACTATACATATATGTCAATTTTATACTCAAATTCCTTAAAATATTATTTTAATTTTTAAATGATAGTTTAAAATGATATTATTCTTTTATGGTTAGCATATTATTCTTTCTAGGTTGGCATGAAATTCTGTGGGTTTTTTTTTTTTTTTTTTTTTTGAGAGGGAGTCTTGCTCTGTCACCCAGGCCGAAGTGCAGTGGAGCAATCTCGGCTCACTGCAATCTCTGCCTCCCAGGTTCAAGCAGTTCTCTTGCCTCGGTTTCCCGAGTAGCTGGGATTACAGGAACCTGACACCACGCCTGGCTAATTTTTATAGTTTTAGTAGAGATGGGGTTTTACCATGTTGGCCAGGCTGGTCTCAAACTCCTAACCTCAGGTGATCCACCCGCCTCGGCCTCCCAAAGTGTTGGGATTACAGGCATGAGCCACTGTGCCTGGCCTCTGTGAGTTTTTGTTGTTGCAGTTTTTGTTTTTGTTTTGTGACGGAGTGTCACTCTGTCACCCAGGCTGGAGTGCTGTGTCGCGATCTTGGCTCACTGCAAGCTCCTCCTCCCGGACTCAAGTGATTCTCCTGCCTCAACCTCCAGAGTAGCTGGGACTACAGGCGCGTGCCACCGCGCCCGGCTAATGTTTTGTATTTTTAATAGAAACGGGCTTTCACCGTATTAGCCAGGATGGTCTCAATCTCCTGACCTCGTTATCCGCCCGCCTTGGCCTCCCAAAGTGCTGGGATTCCGGGCGTGAGCCACGGCGCCCGGCCTTCTGTGAGTTTTAATGCATGCAGAGATTCATGTGTCCATCACCATAAACCCAGATACAGAAAAATTTCTTCACCCCAAATACTCATTCATCTTAACTCTTCACAGTCAAACTCTCCCTTCACTGCTGACCCCTGGCAACACTGATTGTTCTCCATTTCTATAGAGTTGTCGTTTCTGGAAATTCATAAAAATTGAATTATTCCACATTCAACCTTTTGAGTTTGCCTTCTTCAATTTAGCATTATGTAATCTGCTAAGTTACACAAAACTGTTAGTGATTAGGGAGGTGTAACTTAAAACCACAAGTCATACAAGCATACCTTACTTTAATGCACTTTGCTTTATTGTGCTTCGCAGATACTACATTTTTTACAGATTGAAGTTTTCTGGCAGCCCTGCATTGGCCAAGTCTATCAGCACCATTTTCCCATAAATATGTCCTCTTCCAAGTCATTGTCTGTGCCCATATTTTGTTTCTTTTTTGTTATTGAATGGTATTCCAATGAATGTATGTACTACAGTTGCTTATTTATTCTTTTTTTCGAAAGACATTTATCTCCAGTTTGGAGGAGGAAGTAATGTTTCTATGAACATTCAAATACAGGTTTTTGTGTGACATAATTTTGTTTTTGTCTCAGTGGAATTTCTGGTCACATTGTAAGTACATGCTTGACTTTATAAAAAACTGATGAACTGATTTCCATGATGGGTATACCATTTTCTATTCTCACCAAAAAGTATGGCAAACAGTTGTTCTACATTCTTGTCAGCTTTTGGTAACATTTTGTATTACTAGGGTTGTTTTGTTTTGTTTTGTTTTGTTTTAGCCATTCTAATAGGTATATATTAGTTATCATAGGTTATACCTCAGAGATATCACAAGTGAAAAAGACAGGTGGTGCATGCTCCTTTGAAGAAAATAAAATATCCCTGAAGGGTCATATGTAATAGCTAATATTTTCATACGCTTATAAATGTTAATATTTTAAATGGCACCAATGAAAAACAAGTTATATATCTAAATGAAATATTTAAATTAGATATGCACTTTTAAATGAGTTTAGGGCATACTTTAATAATTGAAACAAATATTTCAATTTGTTGGAAATTAAAAGTTCTTACATTATTTCTTTTTATAAATGGAGCACTGATCATTCTCTGCATATTTTGAATAAACTATTTTTAAGTCATTTTTTCTCCAGTGTTTTCCTCTCATTACCAAATCAAAGGAGAAATACAAAAAAAATTATCAAATATATGTATGGATAAAATTCACATTTAGATTTCTTTTCATAAAATATCATATAATTAAATATATTTATTTTGATAATAATGAGACAGTTTTGGCAAAGTGCTTCGACATGTAGATTTTTTTTGCATTAATTATTCTTTTCCTAATAAGACAAGTATTTTTAGAGAAGGAATATAGAATAGTGGTTAACTATGTTAACAGCTTAGCTCTGCTATGTCATAAACATGTGACTATAAATGAATTATTTAACCACTCAGTCTTAGGTTTTTCATCTCTGAAATGGAGATAATAATTGTATATGTCTCATAATGTTTTATGAGACGTGGATATGTGGTATAGAGCAATATGTGATAAAAATAATTTATTGGTATTAAAATCTAGTTGTGTTGCATATTCATCAAATGTTTAAAATTGATGAATATATAAGAATGCCAGAAAGTGACCATATCAGTCCTGTATCCTATCAATTTGCAGGCAGCTTGATTTTTCTTCAGCAATTATATTACTTAGTTCAAAATGCGTAATAAAATTTGGAAACCATTGCTTTCCATGTTTGCTCTCTATCTTTGGTTATGAATTTAACACTTTCAAATGTTCCAGAGTAGACGCCTTAAAGGAGAGAAAAACAGAAGCATTAGCATCAGACATTCAGCTCTAAAATCTGCTTTCTGGAAACACTTGATGTTCTTTTCCATAGTATTTAGGTTATGTTTGCTTAATAAATAAAACGACCAGTCACTTCAGTCAACAACCTGGTTATTAGGCAACCCAGAGGGGGAAAAATAACAAACTGTATTCATCCTTTCAAAATTTTGCTTTGCCATGATAAGTAGGTATTATGAATTCGAGAGACATATTTAATCTCTGATAACTATTATTTTACATATTTATAATAAATTGCTATTTAAAATAGTATTTGATATAAAAGGATAATTTTTGTGTTACTTTTAAAAGTAGTTTTACATTTCACCCCAAGTTATGTTTTCATCAATTAATGACTTGTAGAATATTCTTACTTATAACATTGGCTTTACAATATCAGTGAATTCTTCTGGGGCTCAGTAAAACTAACGATAAAGAGAGCGTAGTCTGGAGCTTTCAGTTAATTTCAAGGTCTTCTATTCACATCCTAAATAAAAGAACTTTGGAAATTTACTGAAATTCTCTAAGATCCTGTAAGAGAATTATAGAGATAGTGACTATCTCTTAGTATAGAATAAGGTGAGAATGTCTCTTCTTTATGTCATCCTATGACTCTGCTTTTTTTAAATAGTTTCTACTTCAATCAAGAAAGCTGTTAGATTATTATTTTTTGTATCATGGATATTTTTTCCTTTCATTGCTGAAGTTGCCTAGTCAGAGCTCACAGGGAGAATCTGCTGCATTCCTGTAATCACTACAATCTATCTCCGTGTTTCTTTTCCTACTAATCAAGTAATTATCATAATTTTTTTCAGAGGCAGCATTTATTTTGTGCTTATTCTTAACTCCTTAGCCTTAAGAAATTTGTCTAAAGTTTTGCTATAACTCCAGAGTTTTTTTCCTGCCCCTAAACTAGGAGTTTACTTGGGCTCCAATTCTTTCTAGCTTCTTCTACAGAAACCCTCTCTTAATGGAGAACTATATCAGCTCCTTCATGGTTCTCTCAGGTAAATTGGAAGCCTTTCTGGAAACTATTCATTTTATAAATCAAATATGCACTGGCCTGGGCTTAATGAATCCTTCCTGAAAACTCAATCTTTAAAGCCAAATCCTGCTTTTCAGTATCTGAACCTGATTAAGCTGAGTGCATCTCAACACGGATCTGTGAGTTCTATTACCATGATTTGAGATCAGGAACATGTAACATTGCTTTGTCTTCCAAATGCTGAGTGCAGGATTCTAGTCTCCTCTGGGGATGCTCTACCTTCTAGGATAGTTGCAATAAGGATAGCAGTAAAGGCAGATAGACGCCCCCGTCCCAGACCAGCTAATGCTGGACACCGAGAGTAACAGCTTGCTGTATTTCCAACTCTTGGTTTGTTCCAGATAGTAATGCTGATGGGTAAGAAAATAAAACACAATATTTGTATGAAATTATGTGATTAGTTATCTACATTAACTTTCCCAGAGTTAATGGGAGAAACTGCAGGCCAGATATATCCAGAAATGCTTTAGCACACAGGTTCATATTATTTATCCTTTTAAAACACTTATGAAAGAAGTCATTGTCTGTCACACATGTCCCACTATCTTTCTCCATAGACTTTCAACCAGGAAGGAGCTAGCTTGTCCATTCATGAATTTACATTATTCTCGGGCTGAGAGATGAAATTCTTCTAGGCACTTTGTAATTCCGGTGCTTAACAGACACAAGTGAAAGACTTCCCTGGATTAAACAATAAATCCTCAATGCAGAAACTATAGATTCTCACATGCTAAATTTAATTAAACATGATCTAATAATAGTTCACTAATCAAAAAAACAGATTATTATGCCTAAGAATTAATATAACCAATAAACAGGAATGTGTTTGTGCTCAAAGCTGTCAAAGCCTTTTATTTTCAAAAATAGGATATAAAATAACCATGGATAAACCAAGTAAATATATAACAAATTTTGTTGACAACTTGAGAAAATGGAACCACTTACAATGACCAAGAAGTAGAAAAAAGTATATAACTCTGGATATGAAAAATTAACTCAGAAACAAACATCAATTAATGGATAAAGCACCAGATTAGTCACAAAGGAATAAAAACTCTGTTAATTGACAATATATTTTAAAAGATTATCGACAATACACTTTGAAGAAAATAAAAAACTTTAAATATGAAAGAATAGTCAGACGAAAAGGATTAGGAATTGAAAAGGCTTGAAACGGAAAGTGAATCAGTGTGTGAATTTTCCAGGCTGAATAAAAGATACGAAACTAGAGCTAAAAGAACATAAATAGAAAATAAATAAAAATAAAATGAATAAAAAATCAACTAGAAAATAAATAAAAATCAACTATTTTGTGTACAAATCTAAGCTGAAACATTATCAAAATGAAGGCAAAAATACTACATTAAAATCAATCAGGGAAAAAAGGAAGATTAACCACCACTACGACAAAAAACAATATGATGGCCAGGAAGTTTTTAAAAGCGATAATATAAAGGAAAAGTATGATAATAACTGTAAAGAGCTGAGAATAAATAACTGTCTACTTAGATCATCTGCTCCTGAAATTATTTGTCAATCATGAGGGTAAAAAATACACTGCAAATAATCAAAACCACTTTATTTTTGTCAAGATAATATTAAAGAAAGATAATTTAATGAACACACTACAGGAAGTGCCTAAATTTATATATTGACTGAATAATACAAGTATACAAATGATGAGGAGGAGGGAGGAAGAATAACAATGATATTTATAATTGTGAGGTTAAAAAGTGTAGTAAGTAATACTACAATGATGTATAACGAAAACGTAAACTAGTTGGAGGTGATCAGACTTAAGTATTTGTAGTGTCTTTTAATTGGAGGGGATTAACAGTAGTGATTTTGAAGTATTTAAATTTTAAAATATCAAGTACAATATTTACTCAAGGAATCTTAGCTTAGTGTACCAATAAATCATTTTAAATCACCATGTTAATTCATGTGATCACCTCAGAAGGTGAAGAAAATGTATTTGAAAAAATTTAGTACACATTTGAGATCCAAAAAATAAAATCAGAATAACAAATTATTAGAATTAACAGGAGGGATTTCTACAAATTTTATTGAAATAAAATAAATACTCCCAAAATAGATTTCACTTGTGCATATATCTAACATAAAATTAGCATAGTTTGGCCGGGTGCGGTGGCTCACACCTGTAATCCCAGCACTCTGGGAGGCCGAGGCAGACGGATCACGAGCTCAAGAGATCGAGACCATCCTGACTAACATGGTGAAACTCCATCTCTACTAAAAATAGAAAAAAAAAATTAGCTGGGCGTGGCAGCGGGTGCCTGTAGTCCCAGCTGCTGGGGAGGCTGAGGCAGGAGAATGGCATGAACCTAGGAGGCGGAGCTTGCTGTGAGCCGAGATAGCTCCACTGAACTCCAGCATGGGTGACAGAGCAAAACTCCATCTCAAAAAAAAAAAAAAAAAAAAAAAATTAGCATAGTTTAAATGATGATATAATAATGGCCAATAGTTGCACAAATACAACAAAAGTTCAATGTACTAAAGAATATTTTTAACAAGGTACATTAAGAAACTCTTTTAACAACAATATAGCATTTTATAGAAATACATAATAAACAAGCTAAATTAATGAGAGATACATCATGCTCATGTACAGGAAAGCATGTCAATTATTCCAAAATTGGACTACAGACTGGAAAAACTTTTAGTGAAAATATCAATATGCTTTTTTGGAATTTGACAAAATAAAGTCAGCATATATATGAATGATCAAATAATAAGAATTGTCAAGATGTATAACAATCATCTTTCAGTAGATTAAACTTAAATATGAAAAGCAAAGTTATAAACACTTCAAAACCTATTACCCTATTTTTATATCTATAGGTAAACAAGTGTTTTAAAAGTAAACATAAAAAGCAACAATCCTAAAAGAAATGACTTACTATTACGGCAATCTTAAAAATAAGATTCTTGATTTATGGAAGAGCATTATATATAAAGGAATTAAAGCAGTCATAAATGGGAGTAATTGCTATTTCCATGGATTTCAGATTCAAAATTTCTGAAATGCTTAGACATATCCTTTTGCCTAAGCAGGCTATTGTCACCAGTTTACATGCCACAGTTTTCTTAAAATAATCTGGAGGGAAGTTTTCCAGAACAAAATTATGATGTTACATTGGAATCCTTCAAGTGTACGTCAGTTCCTTTTCATTCAAGTTCTCTCAACTTATCTCAAAAATTGGACAGGACCTAAGATTTAGATTAATGGCTCAATTCTGGTTTGTGCTTCAAAACTAAAGTTATTTGGTAGGATTCATTCTTACATGAATCAAATAAATAATATAACTTTCTTATTTCCTTCTTTTCAAAATCCCCATAATTGATCATTCATTGCCAGTGAAAATTATGTATACTTGTCTTTTCTGCAGATGTGATTATTATCTCCACCCTATTTTTCATCAGGGTGATGACATTATGTTTATTCTGGCTTTGGAGCATCTATAGGTAGGGCATATCTCTGGGACAAAATGTTGTTTTTAAGATCACAATGTTAGGCATCAAATGGATTGCTGATGTGCTGTAATGTCAACACACTCAGTTCTTTTAGTCAGACAGACATGGTCTGAGGTAACTCAAGTCCACTGGCCAGTCTCCTTTGGACACAATCCACTTTCTTGCCTTACCTTGACATGCTATACCCATTTTACAAATAATATTTTCTATATGTGCCATGAAATCAGAAAAACTGAGAAGCACCGTGTTGGGTCATCCTGTATTTCTACTATCCACTGGTATTGCTGAGATCAGAAAAAACACTGTAATTGTAATGCTGCCCCAAGAATTTCTAAGAGAGCAGAATTAAGCAAAACAAAACCAAAAAATTCTGGCATTCTATAGCTGAATCTATTCTTTACCATAAGTGGGGGAAGAAAGATTCTTCAAGGACATACTTAAAAGTGGCTTTATGAGACATACATAGTGATATGGTTTGGAACTGTGCCGCCACCCAAGTCTCATGTTCAATTGTAATCCCCAGTGTTGGAGGCTGACCTGCTGGGAGGCGATTGGATCATCGGGGCAGTTCCTGATTGTTTAGCACCATTCCCCAGTGCTGTTCTTGTGATACGGTTCTCATGAGATCTGGTTGTTTAAAAGTGTGTAGCCGTATGTTTATTGCAGCACTACTCACAATAGCAAAGACTTGGAACCAACCCAAATGTCCAACAATGATAGACTGGATTCAGAAAATGTGGCACATATACACCATGGAATACTATGCAGCCATAAAAAACGATGAGTTCATGTCCTTTGTAGGGACATGGATGAAGCTGGAAACCATCATTCTGAGCAAACTATTGCAAGGACAAAAAACCGAACACTGCATGTTCTCACTCATAGGTGGGAATTGAACAATGAGAACACTTGGACACAGGAAGGGGAACATCACATACTGGGGCCTGTTGTGGGGTAGGGGTAGGGGTGAGGGATAGCATTAGGAGATATACCTAATGTAAATGATGAGTTAATGGGTGCAGCATGCCAACATGGCACATGTATACATACATAACAAACCTACACGTTGTGCACATGTGCCCTAGAACTTAAAGTATAATATATATATATATATATATATATATATATATATATATATATATATATATATATATATATATATATATATATATATATATAAAGTGTGTGGCACCTCTCTCCCACCTCTCTTCTTCCTGCTTTGGCCATATTGAAGTGCTGGCTCCTCCTTCACCTTCCACCATGATTGTAAGCTTCCTGAGGCCTCCTCAGCCATGTTTCCTGTCCAGCCTGTAGAAACATGAGCCAAATAAACCTCTTTTCTTTATAAATTACCTAGTCTCAAGTATTTCTTTAAAGCAGTATGAGAACAAACTAATATACATAGTTATTAAAAACTGGCATTTAACTTTTAATATCCTTTATCTTAAATTGACAAACTATTTCTAACATTTAGATGCCCTTTGAGGTGGACCAGTGTTACATTAAGGTCCACATAAATCGAATGGCAATCTGGTGATATCATATTTTTGTGCTTACCCCAAATAAAATTAATCCAATATATCTAGCATTTTGAATTTTGGCTTACTACAAAATTGTTTCCCACCTTCCTTGCTCAAATATCCTTTTAAATCATTACTAATAACACTCTTCAGGTTGTGACTCTGATTGCTACACAAAATCTTCATTGAACTCCAAGAGCAGGTTGATTCCAGGTGTCCATGGGCATTTGGTCAATAGCAGAAGAGTTAGTTTTCTTTTCATTAAAGTAGTGACTCCCTATGTGAATAAAAACATTTTTTTGCCCTTTGGTATGAGAGAAGTTTTTAGGTCTTTAATATGTGCCAAATATTTTGATTTTTACTTTTTGAGTTATTTTCTTTTTAATTGTTCTCTTAACTTTCTCAAAAGAGCAACACTGATGGTTTGAATTCAACCATAAGTCAGTAAGTAACCTGTGCAAACATTCTATGAATTAAAATTTTGGCAGTCAGTCCTGTGACTACAAAACTAAAATACTGTCCTATCAAGATCACATAAATATGCTAAAGTTAATTCTGCACCTGGGGTGCGGCAATTCTAGATGTGAGATATTCTGTGTAATTATTTGTTCATGCAATTAGAGTGACCGTCTCACTCATTCCTCAAGGATCTTAACACACATCTTCTTTGTATCACCCTTCTATCTTTTGTGATTGTGAAATCTGGTACTTTCATTCCATACTGATTGACATAAAACTGCAATATAGCACCAGTATATATAAGGTTATTATTTATATCAATTCTCACATTTTATTTTTTCTCATCTTCTATTTATTTTCATTCTTTATTTTATCTCTACTTTTTTATCTAAATAGCTCCACTTTTTTGGAAAATACTCTTTCTGTGGGTCTCCTAGAGAGTACTTTCTCATATTTATTCCATGTCCTTGTGCCACATAAGTGCTGTAGAAGAAAAGAAGGGGCGTGTTCTCCATGTTCATGATCTGACATAGTTAGGTTTTGCCTCCATGAAGCTAAAAGCCTAACAAGCTAATGTAGATTTTCTAGTCATCTTGATATTACTGGTTCCTAACAAATACTCTACAATTCTTCCACAATCATTAATCAAGCTCTTACTTATAATGAAGTTTTCCTCTTTTGTATTTTCTAACAACAAAATGGCATTTAAAATTCAAAAAACCTTCAACATGAAATTTGTCATCAAACTCCTGAAGATACCTTATCCAAAAACAGTCTGTGCTTTCTTGCTACCCAGTTACAAAATGACACATTTATCTTCCTGGTTATACAAAAACTTGAAATCAATTTTGATTTTGCCTTACACCCTTGAACTTCACCATCACCAACTAATATATCTTATAATTTTGACTGAATAGTTGTAGAATTTCTTCTGTTTTAAATTGTCCAAACTCTCTTAAGCCTAGCTATATGGTTACTTTGTTTTAGGCATATTCATTAAGGAAAATATAATGTGTATTATGAATAACAATAAAATAGTGCTATTTAGAATAATCCTTTGTTTTCATTGCTCTGATTCTAAGACAAGGTATTTTCACTCTGTGTATACCCTTAAAATTTCCCTTGCAGTGTATTAAATTGTGAGAAATATACTGATGATAGTCTCCTTGGAATAAGAGCAGCAACAGCTGTTGTTTGATATGATCATATATGAAAAGTGACTGCCTTTGAGTTATGTCTCAATGTGTGATGGAAAGGAAGAGGTCATTTTCACATCCTTATACCATAAATAAGACTCAGTCTTCTCTAAGAAAAATTTATTGTTCATCATCAAGTCAGAGTGAGACAAAGACGAAGGGACATTTTATTTTAATGTGACTTTTTTTTTTCTTAAAAGTAAATCAGAAAACTGAAGTTCTTTACAGGACACAGTATCTGAAAATTATTTAGGTATCATATTTTTATTACTTGATCTCAATGACCAGTACAATATTAACTGTGATATGGTGCATATTTTAATTCAAATTAGATAAATAGCTAAGTTGAGACTTTTACCTCACTTTTCATTCAAAAAAATAGCATATGTTTTCCATTTTATTGCCTTAAGGAGATACAAAGGCAATTCTAAAACACAACCAATATTATTCTTTGGTACAGCACTACTGCCAATTCTCTTGTTCCTGTTCTCAGTGTGTTTTGCCTAGAATATCCATAAAACTCTTCTTTTATTTCTTTTTCATAGCTCTCCCATAGGGTCTGATAATATGTCACTTTCCAAGCAAACAAACAAAGAGAAGCAATGGCAACAAATTTGTCAGTGTCTTTTTTCACTCCTCAATTGTAGTTTCCCGATATTTAATTTTCTGCTTGAACTAACCTCACTCAACATTCTCAGCTTTATCTTTTTTCTTTTTAAATGTTTTTAGCTAACGAATGAAAAATATGTATGTTTATGTTGTACAATGCAATTTTTCAATATTATGTATACATTGCAAAAGGTTAAGTCAAGGTAATTAACATATCCATTACCTCACATACTTATTACTTTTGTAAGGTAAGAAAATTTCAAATCTACTCACTTGGTGTACAGACACTGTTACTCATAGCAGTCACCATATTGTAAGTAGATCTCCCAAATGTAACTGTCTAACTTAACGTCGTATCTAGCTGAAATTTTGAATCCCTTGACCAACATTTCCCCAGACCACCCCAGTCCTGGCAACCACCATTCTACTCTCTGATTTATAAGTTCAATTTTGTTAGATTCCACATATAAGTGAGATCATACAATATTTGTATTTCTATGCCTGCTTTATTTCATTTAACATAATGTCCTCTAGTTTCATCATGTTGTTGCAAATGACAGGATTTCCTTCTTTTCAAAATATGCTTTATCTTTTTCTAATTCCTTTAATGAAGTCCAGGACCTATGCAAAATAAACTGCTTCTTATGTTTTTGGGCTTTCCATGTCTCCATTGATTCTATACACATGTTTCTTAGTCTTCACTCATCTCCCTTCACCATAATCTGCTTAAACTTTAAAGCTTATCTCAATTAATCCAAAATATTTTTCGATCTTTCACAACCTATGACAAAATGATTTCTTCTCTAAATAATACACGACTCTGATTAACTGCTATTTTATGACCCATAGTTTTCTACCTGTGGTATATTTTTGTCCATATTTTATTAACTATTTTGTATTTCAAAATCTTGCAAAATATGTTTGTATCTAAATATCATTTATAGATCTCATACTGAACATAATAGATACCAAATAAAAGTTTTATAATTTTCATGGTTCTAGCAAGTATCAGAATTAAATTGGAAGGTTAATTACCTCAGATCCGAAATCTTTGTTTTCTTTTTTCAAAATTGAAGAAAATAATTAAAAATCAAATGAAATGAACATCTGACAATATCTCTCTGAAACAAAAATAGAATGGAATAGAGACTCATGAGCAACAAAAAGAGTAATTAATAGTAATTACATGCTGTTAAAACTCATTGTAAATAAATACTATGGCCCCTTGTTAAATATAATGAGACAAAGTGACCATAATTTTATTTGAATACAACAGAAATATGCACATATGCCCTCATATATAGCCCCATCTTCAATCTAATATAGTACAATGGAAGCACCAAGATTTATTATGATCAAATTGACTTTGTATCACACGTTGAATTTCAGGCAATAAGACACAGAAAAATGATGGGTTATTTCCACAGTGATGAGAACATAAAAAATAGATTTAATCATAAAATATGGTTGACAAATAATGAGGTTAGTTTTCCTAGTTACTTTTTTGACCCCTCGAAAGAGACCACTTTGAGTTGTTCATGTCATACATTAGACATTTGTTGAGAAGTCTTAAGTGTCAGCCAGTGGAAATCAGGACAGAAATCATCTGTGAAATGTTACTGACTTGTAGGTACATAAGTTCTCTCTGGTTTTGTTAGACTGTGAACATTAAATTGTTTTAAAAATAACATTGTCCTGGTTCTCTATACCTGGCAATACATTTTACAAAAATAAAAGTTTGAAACAGAGCCAAAGGGGGTATAGCCATGAAATACAATTTGCTGTATGGTTCTGGGGGTGGATCACTCAACTTTGGTTTAGGTCTCCCTTCTGCCTTTTTCTTTTGCGGAATCTTTTCTTCCCTCTTATCATGGAAACATGGTACCAACACAATCAAAACATTTTTAAATTATGTATGTCAAAGCTTCCTGTAGTCAATAGGCAGATGTGACTCTGCTGGCCTACATTAGTCATAAGTTGTCAGTTTGAGGATGTGTTAGTGAAACATCTGCTTTCACTTTAATCCCCTCAACAGCCAATTTTCTGGCTGATGGAACTCAGCACGAGTACCCACACTGAACAAGCTTGTGGTACTTATGGAGAGTAAGCCCTATTCATCACTGCCAATAAGGCGTTGCCACTCTGCCCCCAGCATCTTCATTATCTTGTACTCTCTTATTTTAATCACTGCATTAATACTGCTGAGTTTTCCTGAATATGAAGTAATAATCATCATGTCTTTCAGAGATGCGTCTTGTATGTACACATGGAGCTTTCAGGCAGTGCTGAAGGCCTTTGAACATCACCTTCAGAAAGTGTAAATTCTGATCTGACCGTGAGTTTTCAGTAATACTAAGAGGCAACACAAATCCTTCCCATTCCCCCCTTTATATTAGCAATACCTATCATTTGTAACAGCTTAGCAGAAAAGCAATGCAGAATACACCCAATGTGTAATTATCATATGTGTATTTTCCATAAAGTTATGGTTTTTTAATCTCTTCAATTTCCCACTTCCAAATCTTATTATGCATATACTTATCATGCTTATTTGATTAAAACCAAAACAGATAACTTTAAAAAACTTCTCTACTCACAGAAGTTTATGTGAACTAATAAAAGTTTGTGTGAACTAATAAAACTTGGTGTGAACTAATAAAACTTTATTTCATGTGTTCTGATTGCTGTGAAATCTATGATTTAATAAAAATATATTTTAATGTATTTTATAAGGTGGCTTATCCAATAAATCAGAACATTCATTTATTTTAATCAAATGTAATCTGGCTATTTATTTCTTATCCATAACTATATACAGATTTGTTGGGTGAGGGCATGAGTTCTTATATTCTCAGAACAAATCCCCCACAAATTCATGCATTCTTGCATTCAAAAAATATTTCTGAGAACCTTGTCTGCTATGAATATTACAACCTGCTTTCTCATTGCTTGTATTTGCTTGGTATCCTTTTCCTATCCTTTTAGGCTTTATGTTTATGTCTAGTTTACATAAGTCCTTGTACAGAATAAACTTAGATTTTGATTAGTGAACAAATCCAGAAGCAGAATATTTAAGCCGATTTATAATATTGACATGACTGATATGCTTAGTTTCATTTTTTTCATGAGATCTTAAGTTCTTTTATGTAGTATTAAGCGTATCTCTGTATAAAGTGTTTTCTTTGTTCTATTTTGCTAATTCTTGTATTTATAGTTATAAAGATTTTGTTTTAGTTCAAGTGGTTACCTATACTAATTTATTTCATAATGTCCTTAGTCTCCTTTTTCAATATTTAGGTGACTGCATTTTATTTTATTAGCTTTGTATAGTATCCTTGACTCTCACCCATGACTTTTGCAAACACCAATGAGCTTATTTTACTTTCAATTTTTTGTTTCCTTTCTGTCATATTATTTATTTTCACTTTTATAGAATTTATACAATTTAAATATTATTAGTTAATTTTGTTCCCTCCTTTGAATCTTATTACTGCAATTAAATATATTGGATGATGACCATTTTCTTCATTGAAATTTCACGAATATGGATTTCTCAGAAAGAACTTATGCCTACATTCATTCTTGAATATTTAATCATTCTCCTATCCTTTATAGTTGAATGATTGCTTATCTGAATTTTAAAATTTTGCTTATCTTTTTTCTTTGTGTTTTTCAAAATATTATTTCACTGTTGTCTTATATTGTATGTTGTCAAGAAAGCTGGTGTTGACCTGTTTCTACTTTTATATATATATATATATATATATATATATATATATATATTTTTTTTTTTTTTTTTTTTTTTTTTTTTTTTGCAAATGCCTTAGCCTCTTTGCCTGGGGGTTTTGTCATTGTTGTTTTTCATGTGACTTTTAGGTCTAATAATTTTATCAGGTTATATCCTAAAATAGTCAGTCATAGTAAAATTTTCTTAGTTACTGCTGAAACATTCAAGTTGTGTTGAAACTATCAATAGTAGTTTTAAATGTTACTTCTATCTGCTTATTTTATTTATTCTTTCTTCATATCTTTATATAAATAATGGATTAGGATATTCAAAATATTTTATGTATTTTTAATATTTTATCGCAGTGTTTTATTTTAATTCACATCCCCTTTTTGTTTTTATGTTTATTTGTTTGTTTGTTTTTTTCCCTCACAGTGAGACATGATTTTTCTGGGCATCTTGTAAATCTGTCTTTCTTTTGGCTTGGTTTGGTGAGTTTGTTTAGTGAATGTTCCGAATTATGTTCTCATGTCTTACTTTTTTAAAAAATGTATTGTGAGATTTAAAATTCCCTGATTCATTTTGTGCTTTTAAAGTTGCAATTGCTAGTTTAAAAATATGTAGTTTATGTTGGAGTTCTATTTTACAATTTTGTTCCTGCTAGCTTAATATTTTCATCATGTGTACATTTTATCTATGCTGTGTGATAATAGCTTTTTATATATGGCTTTTTTGTGTTAACTGTTTTGAATTTTCATTGAGAGACAGTAACAATTGTTTCTTTGGATGTTGTAATATGTTTTATTAGCTTACTGAGATTCTTACTGCAAGATCAACTCTACTATTAGTAAAAGAAAATGTGTTTATTTCAATAAATACTTCCGTAGCAAAAAAACTATTGTTTTCAGAATTGTTATTTTATTTTTATTTTTTACTGTAGGGCTTTAAGGTCGTATTCTTTCTTTTCTTCTATATAAAGTCAACACGATATGTCTCTCCCTTCCGAGTTCCTGTCCTCCGCACTGCGGTCCCAAGGATGCCAATTCTAAC
This sequence comes from Homo sapiens, assembly GCF_000001405.40. NCBI lineage: Eukaryota > Metazoa > Chordata > Mammalia > Primates > Hominidae > Homo > Homo sapiens. Next base: position 26,006,908 of record NC_000005.10, read on the forward strand.
TCCATGAGCAATCGAGAGCCTAATTCAATTACACAGTAGCCAGGGCTTGTATTTGCAAAGCCTGGCTCCTGTTCTGGTTGTTTTTCTTTCAGAAACAGACTCTTCTCAAAGGGTTAATATCCATGCCTCTTACCACTAGAACTCTACCACACTTTTCTTTTTTCCTGCCTCACTCTGTGCTCTGTTATGGGCTCATGAGCTTCCTCCTCTGGTTTCAGCAGTTTATCATCCCATTTATGTGTAAGTTAAATTTTTCGGAGTTCTCTTTCCTCTTAGGCCTTCTGTAGAAGTGAATGATAAGTGGTTTTACTTACCCTCTTCATAAAACTCTATAGTTTTTAAAGATGTAAATTGAGATCTGACTTATGTCATCACCATCCTAGGAAAAGATCTATTCACCATTGTTAGTTGTTTCAATGTGGTCAGAGTTCTAACAATTTTATTGAGTTAATTTATGTAATTGAAAAATATATACAAGTTGAAAAGCGTGGGATGTATATTGTTTCAATCCTCATGTTATTCTCTTTTTAATGTCCTGACATACATAAGTATTTCATGATTATATATAAAACATGTCTATTTCAGGTATGACTCTACATTTGGTATTAGCTTCATATCGTGTACTGTTTAAACTATTCCTCAACAAGTAAGAGATTACACACTGCTCTGAATAGCCACTGATTTTCTTTTTTATACTCAAAACTTAAATTTCTCTGCTGGAGTCCTTTCTTCTTGCCTTCATTAAGTGCAAACAAAATTGATATTTTCGGTGCCATTTCATAAAAATAGTTTTTTTTCTTTTATAATAATTTTCACAGGAAGAATTATGTTTAGTAATAGCAATTTGTTCAAAAAAATAAATAAAATGTTGATATACTAGTGTACTCAGCTGAATTCTAACAATTTTTCTTGCTTTGTCTATGAGAAATAAGGAATGCAGGTGTACCACAGAAATATAGTGGGTTAAGTTTCAGACCACCTCAATAAAGTATCACAGTAAAGAAAGTCAAACATTTTTTTGGTTGCTGGTTGCTTGGTACATATAAAAGTTACATTTACACTATAGTTTTCTTAATATGCATATTAATAATTTACTTTATACTGTAGCAATAGTATTTTATCGAAAAATCAATGTACATAATTTTAAAATACTTTATTGTTAAAGCATGATCATCTGCATCTTCAGCAAGCCATGAAGTTTAGAATAATATAGAACAATAGAGAATTTCTAACAATGACATACAGTATTATCTGCATTCAAAGAAATATAAACAAGTACAGAAATTAATTCATTAATTTTATATTACAGTTATGCAACTTGCACTAATTAATATTTAAGGCTACAAAGGGCAATATCACTTCTCATAAATTTCTGGCAATTGTAAATTTAATACCCCAAATTGTGAATATTCTCATCTTTTTTTGAGATTCTACATGTAAACAAATATCCTGCAAGTTAATATATTTAAAATGTAGTTCTAGTATTTTCTAAAATCATCAGTTGATATGGTTTGACTGTGTCCCCACCCAAATCTCATCTTGAGTTGTAGTTCCCATAATCTCCACGTGTCATGGGAGGGACTCAGTGAGAGGTAATTGAATTATAGGGGTAGGTCTTTCCCATGCTGTTCTCATTATAGTGAATAAGTCTCATGAGATCTGATGATTGTATAAAAGGGAGTTCCCCTGCCCATGCTCTCTCTTGTCTGCCAATGTGTAAGATGTGACTTTTCTCTTCATTTGCCTTCTGCCATGATTGTGAGGTCTCCCAAACCATGTGTAACTGTGAGTCAATTAAACATCTTTCCTTTATAAATTACCAGTCTCAGGTATGTCTTTATTAGCAGTGTGAAAATGAACTAATACATCAATATTTGTGTCATTGGGTGAGTCAGAATTGGAATACATATCAAAGAACCTGTAGCTCAGAATTCTTTTTACCAAACAATCGGCTTCACACATCACAGCAGTGATATATGAATACTACATTTCCTTTTTTAATCATAAAAATAATGTCCCATAATAAAACCTAGAAGAGTACTCTGAGAATACATTCATATTTATGTATATATCGATATATCTACACCATGGAGAAAATTAAAAGTTAAGACAATTACAATTTTTTTTTTGCCATGTTTAGAAGTTTGTGGAAAATAAGATTGTCTTTCATTCACTATGAATCAGAGTGCCTTTGATTTTTTTTCCAGCACAAAAAGTGGAAATTGAATTAGGTAAGTACATTTATACATTGAAGGTTTGGAACTACATGTGGAAATGTATTAAGTTTATTAACAATGTTTGAGAAAATAATAATGATGGAAAGAAGAGTTGGTTCTAAATGAGAAGAACCCAGTGATATAACTAACTCTGCCTAGTCATTTGAGTAAATTTAACCAAGTCTCTTATTGTCTTTGAATTATATTTTCTGAAGTGTAAAATTAATATTTCTTTCAATGCAAATGAAAGATTTACTGAGCATCTTCTCTAAATGAAGTACTTCAATGTGTTATAAAGATGAGTCAAAGATGGTCTCTGTATATTAGCTCCTAAGATGTTTATTTCTTCACAGCATGCTGAGATCTGTTCACTCAAAAGTCTGCTAGTGCCAAACTCAAAATTTTATAAATCTAATGTTTCTTGTGTTTTAATGGTTTCAGGAATGTTTCCCCAGCAAAGAAATAAAATATTTTTTTCTATATTAATTTTTATAAACATGTAATATCCTAGTCTATTTGGGCTGCTACAACAAAATACCACAAAAAGGTTGGTTTATAAACAACAAATAAACAGATTTTTAGGCACTTTGTCCTCACAAAGTTATGCCCATCGACCAGCTGTTGCTGCTCTTCAGAGGTCTCTGACCCAGAGACAATCTTTCAGGCTACTGGGGAACATCACTGAGATATGTAAGTCCCCTCTCCAATACCCCTTTTCTCCAGAGTTCACTGGCCCTTCTCCTCTTCTAGACGTTCCCCGAAGTGAGGATTTGGAGAACGTGCAAACCAATGTATCCCCCAGTAAAGTCGTGTGTGCTGCTGCCGCCTTCTGGTCATGGCTTTTTCCTTGTTCAGCTCTGAAATCCCTCAGACCTCCTGCTACTAACAGAGCCTTTATTAATGTCACTAGGGTTGACCAGATTACTATTTATAAACTGCTTTATTGAGAGATGTTGATATAAAAAAGCTGTACGTAGTTTGGAGATAAGTGAAACCCAGGAAACACTGCCCACAATGCTAAACTTATAGAAGCATAACAGAAAGATGGGTTCTGGAGGCTGGTGGTGGGATGGGGGGCGGGGGGTGAGTAGTGGGGAGCTGTTGGTCAAAAGGTGCAAAGTTTCAGTTATAGAAGATGAATGAAACATTATATTTAAGTTGTCTTCAAACTAGATATATATTTTTTCTTAAAAATAGCATTCAGTGAGTGTTGGCTTTCTGATTATCACTGCAATATATACGGCCAGTAAACAAAGTTTAGAAATTCCAAAATATAAGAATAAAAATATCTATTACTACATTTTTCAGTTTAAGTCACAGTGCTGTTCATGAGAGACATAAAATAACTGACGTTTTAAAAATCTCGCTTTGACACATCTAGTAAATGCTTTTCCAAATACATCATAGCAATTCAGTCGGGTACAAAGAAACAGACATTCATGTTCCAGATCTTTGCCAGTATTGACCATTGTAAATGTAAACAAAAAGGGGAGATTTTTAGTTTTATAGTTGAAAATGGAATATCATTTTATTACACATTTTATTACTATCTAGTGAAACACTGGAACATTTTTTTAGACCCTTAAGAAATTGACATTATTGCATACCTATTTTTCAGTCATTATCTTAGCATTATCTATATAAATATAATATAAATATATATCAGATATTATGAACCTTTATTTTTAATTTTTAAATTTATATATATTAAATATTCTTATATCTGAAACTATTTTTCCTTGTAGTTTTTCATTTTTTCATTGTTTCAGAAATGACTTCCCAAAAAGAGATAAAATATTTTTTTCTCTATTTTTTTTTATACTTAAATATTTTAGCCCATTTGGGCTGATATAACAAAATATCAGAAATGATTGGCTTATAAACAACGAATATTTGTTTTTTACAGTTCTGGAGCCTGGGAAGTCCAAGATCAAGCCACCCACAGATTCAGTGTCTGGTCACAGCCCTCTTCCTTATGGGTAGCACATTGTTCCTGTGTCCTCATGTGATGGAAGAGGCAAAGCAGCTGTCTTGGGCCTCTTTTATAAGGACGCTAATTTTATTCATGAGGGCTCTGTCCTAATGAGTTAATCACCTCCCAAAACTCTCATCTCCTAATGCAATCACTTTAGGAGTTAGGATTTCAACATATAAATTTTGAGGGGGACACCAGCATTCAGACTACAGCATTGAATACCTTTATTCTCCAAGAGTTTGTATGCTGGTCACATTTCCATTGTTATGATAAAATATGCATACCGTAGCATTTACTATCTTCACCATTTTTAAGTGTGTAATTCAGTGGCATTAAATACATTCACATTATTGTGCAACCATCACGTCACCACCGTATATCTCCAAAACTTTCTCAGCTTCCAAACTGAAACTCTTTGCTTATTAAGAAATAACACCCCATTTCCTCTTTCCCTCAGCCTCTGGCATCCACCACTCTACTTTTTATATCTATGAATTGGGTGTGTCATATCAGTTGTATTAGTGAAATTGTGCATGGACAGAGACCTCTTTAATCTCACCCCAGTCAACTTTACCTACTTACTGAGAATGATCATCAAGCCCCTTTCTGGTTATCATTTAATGTCTCCCAGCTAAGTGTTAATATCTAACACTTCTAAGAAACTTGATTATTTAAAAGTGCTATGGGAAATGATTTCAATCAATTACCAAAGTTAACCAATCTGGTAGAGATCTAAGGTGGTAGCTCAGGCCACAAACCTAATTTTATGATATTACTACAACATTAAGTGTTTGGACGACAGTCTCTTACCTGTTCAAGGAATAGACCCATGTTTTTCCAACCTTGCAGTACAAAAAGCCTGTAGCCAAAGAGTCAGGTTGTTTCACTTTATGTATATAATAATATGGGGAATATGGAATAATATATATGATATATTATGTATAATATTATTTGTAATTATAATAATTACCATAAAACACCGTTTCTAGTAAAATATACATAGAAATTCAAATAAAGTTTATATTTAAGTTCCTTTCTAACAATGACTCTATTAATTTTATAACTGTTTAAGTCTTCTTTTCATTCTTAGAGTATAGACATGTAATTGTTACTGTGGGAATCAGTTAACTTGTCTTTCATATTTCATTTCCTAAGTGCTAAATGGAGTTTCCCTGGCAAAAGCTGTCTTTTGCTGTCAATATCTGACTCCCAGTTACATTTGCAGCACAAAGCATTTGAATTGACTGTTACAGTGTAAGATTTCTTGCAGCCTTATCTTTTATACACTTCCTATCTTGTTGTGGAAAAGCAAAGAAGGAAGCTTTCTGGGTCAAATGCTTATGTTCTGTTGAAGATTAAAGAATATATATTCACTACTTATGTGACATTATAATTTCTTTATTCTAATCATTAATAATATTGAACTTAACTATCCATAATGTAAAAGTAAATGCATTACCATAGAAATATGTGCTTCTTATGAAATTATGGAACATTTTTTCTAGTTTATTATATATTTAAATACATTATAGTTTTAAAAGCAAAATGTTATAACATGCCCAGAGTGGTATAAGAATAAAATAACGTTTCAATAGAAATTTCCTCTCTTTGAACTTCAATTTATAGACAATACATAAAGCTAGAAATATGTTGAAACTTTCTAATAAAACTCAATGAATTTTCTCTTTTAATCAGAATTATTAAACGAAACAATTCAAAATAACTAACATGTTATACAAATATAATAAATTACACAGTGGATTTTTAAACTTGTACAAATAGTTTATAACAGCTTTGCACATTGGCAGTATTATAGCTAGAGGTTTATTCAAGAAGTGATTATTGTTAATTGAAAACTTTCCTGTTACCTCACCACGATGACTTGTAATATAATCAACATTGGTAATTTTTGATATTATCCAAAAAAACTAAAAAAATGGTTTATAACAACAAATGCCAGTTAATATATAAAGCATAAAGTAATGTTTGTATGCCTTGAAATGAGTATAATTGATTAAACAAGTATAATAGTGACAAATTTTTTAACTTTTACTGAAAAGCTGAGATTTCTGAGCCTTAATACAAATAGATAAATAATAAGTTGCTAAACTTATTATTAGTTGTTGCTAAATTATAATGCTTTTTTTGTTTTTTTTTTTTTTTTGGAAGGATCTCACTCTGTTGTCCAGGCTGGAGTACAGTGGCGTGATCTCGGCTCACTGTAAACTCTGCCTCCTGGGTTCAAGTGATTCTCACACCTCAGCCTCCCAAGTAGCTGGAACTGCAGGCATCTGCCACCACACCGAGCTAATTTTTGTATTTTTAGTAGAGACAGGGTTTCACCATGTTGGCCAGGCTGGTCTTGAGCTCCTGACCTCAAGTGATCCACCCGCCTCAGCCTCCCAAAATGCTAGGATTACAGGCGTGAGCTTCCATGCCTGGCCTAAACTATTATTCTTAGAAAACTAATTTTAATATGTGGACAATACTGGAAGAAATACAGTAAATGCAAATTAACTTATAAAATTGATAGATGTATTTTAACTAAGAGGAATAAATGTCTAACAGAATGGCACTAAAGCCAATTACAATAGACTTAACTTATTTAATAAATAAGATGCATACATTTGAGATTTCTTATGAAGATATAGCAACAACTTTTCAGAAAACATTTTATTCAATTTGATAAGAAAATTTGTGTGGCAAGTTTTAATAGAGTAAGGATAGAAGAAATATTTTAATTCATAGAGTAGAGAGTCACAGCAGTTAAAATTATTTTATGAAGAAAATATAAAATAGCACTTTTTATTTGAACCCTAACTTAAGAATAAGGAATGTTAGGCATCATTTAAATTTTTATGAAAATAATAAAATGCCCTACTTTCACCGTTTTAACTAAAGAAAGAAAAAAATGGTTCAGGGGAAAACAGTTATAGAGATGTAGATTTTGACTCAGACTGAAAAATGAGAGACCATCAAATCAGTAAAGAAAATAATTTAGAAATAGACATATAAAGTCACATTCAATATGACCATGCTGAAAAGAAAAGAGAATATGTTTATTTTGTTGAAACAAGGAGCAATTTATACAAAGAAACATGGCAGGTAATAGTTGGTCTATGGAAATTTCACCAGAGGCAGTAGGAATGCATGGGCCAGATCAGACCAAGTGTCAGCGCTAGTTAGTTCTTAACAGAAAAAAGTACATGGAAGCAATAAAAATAGAGTGAATGTTAATCTCAGACTGCACATAATGACTACTAGACTAATTTATTCCCAAAGGATCACACAAGCAGTGAAATTCAGAGATAAAGCAGAATGCCTGCCAGACACCAAGCTGTTATTAGAAGTGGCAGACATGCAGTGTGTGATTAAAGAAGCAGTAATAGTTGAAATAATTTACTGTGCAAATTTCAGTTACCTGCACTTTCTTCCAGTCTATTAGTAACTGTTTCTAGCAGAACAAAGTCTTAGAATAGGGGACCTGTATAATTCACTGGTTCTTTACAGCCAGCAAACCAAAGATATGAGAGAGGCTCTTGACACAAACAAATGTACCATTTCATAAACTGACATCTCTATATTGCACATTTTTTCCATTTATACTTTTGAAAACTTTTACGTCTGTGTCAGTTAAAATGATTATCAACCTTGGTAACGTATTTTTCCTCATTTCAAAATGTACATAAATCTAGTTTCATATGGCCCACAGAACTGATGTCTATGACCAATAATTTCAATTATCTCGAAAAGTAAATGAAAAATGAAATTGATCCAATGGCCAAACACAAAACCTCAAAGTAAATCACATATTTCAGAACCTCGAGGTTCAATTTTGTGCCATAAACATTTATAATTTGGGGTGAATAAATAACTGTAACCTATAAAACATATTATTTATTGTGATGGTTAATTCTTTTTTTTTTTTTTTTTTTTTTGAGATGGAGCTTCGCTCTGTCGCCCAGGCTGGAGTGCAGTGACACGATCTCAGCTCACCGGTGGCTCCACCTCCCAGGTTCAAGTGATTCTCCTGCCTCAGCCCCCTGAGTAGCTGGGACTACAGGTGCCCGCCACTACGCCAGGCTAATTTTTTTGTATTTTTTTAGTGGACACTGGGTTTCACCGTGTTAACCAGATGGTCTCCATCTCCTGACCTCGTGATCCATCCACCTTGGCCTCCCAAAGTGCTGGGATTACAGACGTGAGCCACCGATAGTTAATTTCATGTGTTAATTTGGTTGGGCCACAGGATGCCTAGATAGCTGGCATTATTTCTAGTTGTGTCTGTGAAGATGTTTGCAAAAGAGTCTGATATTTGAATTCTACTTAGGAAAGCAGAGACTTCTCCCAAATGTGGATGAGTGTGATGGTTAATATTGAGTGTCAACTTGATTGGATTGAAGGATGCAAAGAATTGTTCCTGGGGTGTGTTTGTGAGGGTGTTGACAAAGGAGATTAACATTCGAGTCAGTGTACAGGCAGAATCACCCTCAACCTGGGTGGGCGCCACCTAATCAGCTGGCAGCTTGGCTAGAATAAAGCAGGTAGAAGAAAGTGGAGTGGGGAGACTTGCTGGGTTTTCTGGCCTTCATCTTTTGCCTGTGCTGGATGCTTTCTGCCCCTGAACATCAGACTCCAAGTTCTTCAGCTTTTGGACTCTTGGACTTACATCAGTGATTTTCCAGGGGCTCTAGGGCCTTCAGCTGCAAACTGAAGGCTGCACTGTTGGCCTCCCTACTTTTGAGGTTTTGGGGCTCGGACTGGCTTCCTTGCTCCTCAGCTTCCAGAAGGCCTATTGTAGGATTTCGGCTTCTGATAGTGTGAGTCTATTCTCCTAATAAACTCCCCTTCATATATACATATATCTTATTAGTTCTGTCCCTTTAGAGAATCCTGACTAATACAATGTGTATCATCCAATTTTCTGAGGGCCTGAACGGAACAAAAGAAGGTGAAGAAAGGCTGAATTTTATTTCTGCCTGACTGCTGGTACATCAATCTTTTGCTCTCCTTCTGCACTCCTGAAAGGGCCTGCAGATCGAGACTGGAATCTACACCATTGGTTCTCCAGCTCTTAAGTCTTCAAATTACACTATTGGGTTTTCTGGGTCTCCAGTTTACAGACAGCAGATCATGGGAATTCTCAGTGTCAAAACTGTGTGAATCAATATCTTTATAGTAAATGTCTCATACCTATATCCTATTGGTTCTGTTTCCCTGTAAAACTCTGACTAATCTATTTGCTAAAGTAACCTTAAATCATACTAGAGATTTAGTAACTCAAAGTAATATAGAGAGCCATGACCATTCAATGGGGAAAGGACAGTATTTTTAGCAGATGTATTAGGCAAACCAGACATACTCATGAAAAAGAGAATGAAGCTGGACCCTTACTTTACACAGTATACGAAATTTAACTGAAAATGGAACCAAAACTCTTAATGATAACACAAGGGAAAATTTTCATAAAGTTAAATTTGGCAACCATTTCTAAGATGTAAAGCAAAATTTTTAGCAAAATTTAAACTTTTGTGCATCTAGGAACACTATGGGCAGAGTGAAAATGCAACCCATGAAATGGGAGAAAATATTTGAAAATTATCATTGGATGAGAACTTAATATCCAGAGTATATAAAGATCCCCTATATTGCAATAAAAATAGCAAAATGAATTTAAAAATGAGCAAAAAACCTGAATTGATATTTCTCCAAAGAAGATCTAAAAATGGCAAATAAACACATATAAAACTGCACTATCTCACTGATCACTGACGAAATTCAAACCAATTGCTCAACAAGATACCACTTCACATTCATTTGAATAGCTGTTATAAACAAAATAAAACGAAAGAAATCATATGTGTTGGTGAGGATATGAAGAAATTAGAACGTTTGTACATGGTTGGTGAAAATGTAAAATGGTACAGCTACTAGAGAAAATGGTATGGCAGTTTATTAAAAATTGAAACTTAGAGTTGTCATATAATCCATTTATTTCATATTGGAGTATATGCCCAAGGACTTGAACAGATATGTCTGAATGTATATCCATGTTTCATGTATACCAACATTTATAGCAGCATTATTTAAAGTAGCCAGAAGGTGAAAGCAACTTGAGTGTTCACCAGTGGGTAAATGGGTAGACAAAATGTATTATATACATGCAGTGAAATAGTTTTTCAGCAAGAAAAATGAAGGAAACTTTAACATATAACATGAGTGAATCTTGAGCGCTTATGGTAAGTGAAATAAACCAGTCATAAAAGACCAACTTGCATAACTCCACTTATATGAGTAACCTCAGGTGGTGAAATTTATAGAGCCAAAACAAAATTGGCAACCAGGGGCTTGGGGAGGAAGAAATGAAGAGTGATTTTTTAATGGGTCCAGATTTCAGCCTGAGAGATGCAAAAAAAAGTCCTAAAGATGAATAGTGGTAATGGCTGTACAAGGATGCGGATACAGTTATTACCACTAACTACAGTCATAAAAAAGATTAAAATAATAAATTTTATGTTATGCATATTTTACCACAATAAAAAATAAAAAAATCACAAAGCATTGATTATAGAATTGTGTTGATGAACTTATCTTGTATAAATAAGTACCATTTTTACAAGAAGGCATAAAAGAGGAAAAAAGACGAAAGTGTTGTATATTAGTAAAATTATGTTGGTATTAATCAGAACTAGATTCCTTTATTGTAATGTACAAAGTGAAAGGTCCAGGCCAACAACAACAAATACACACGCACACAAAACCAAGCCAGAAAAAAAAAACAAAAACATAACACCACCACCACCACCAACAAAAACTTCAAAAGTAAATTAAAACAAGAAAAAGGAAATCAAAATTCCATGGTAGAAAAAATATATTTTGCAGAAGGTATAAATTGAAAAGGGCATAATAAATATAGAAAAAAATAATAATTGTAAATCTGATCAGTAATTACCTTAAACGTAAATAAACATTCTGATTTTTAGTGGGAGATACTTGAAGAATGGATAAAAGTTCTATGATCAATCTGTAGGCTGTCTACCATAGACACATTTTAGGTCTTCACATACAAATCAGTTGAAAGAAAAAGAACAGGAAAAGATGTACAATGTAAACAGTAAAAATAAGAGCTAAGATTGCTATACTAATAGTTGACAATATAGACTTTAAATATAAGTGAGTTACTAGAGAAAGAGAACAGTTTACAACAATAAAAGCATTAATCCATTAAGAAGACGTGTCAATAATAAAACTTTACATATATAATAAAACAGCCTCACAATACATGGAAACAAGAACTAACAGACCTAAGACAAGGGATAGGCAAATCTTCATTGGTGTCATTAATATTCAGTGTCAAACATGGATAAAACTACTACACAAAACATCAACAAGAAAATAGAACACTTAAACAAAACTATAAACCCATTATGTACCACTGTCAAACATTTAATGAATAATTAAAACAACTCCTACACAAACTCTTTCAAAAAAATTAGAAGAAAAGAAATTGCCCTCCAATCTATGAGAACAGAATTACCCTAATTTCAAAACCAGACAGTGGCAGCATATAAAGAAGAAATTATCGAAAATTATATCTAACAAAGGAACAAAAATGATTATAAAAATATTTGCAAAAAATGCAAATCTATGACAAAAATAAGCATATATCATGACCAATGAGTTTATTTCAGGAAGGCAAAATTTAACATTCAAAAATTAATCACCACAATATTCCATATTAAAAGAATAAAAGAAAAAAGTATGTAAATCTCATGATATACAAGCAAGACATTGCAAAAAAGTTAAACACTCTTAGTAAACGCATGAAAAAACAGGAGTTGGAGAGAACACCTCAAAACTAAAAATGAGTATCTGTGAAAAATATTCACCTGTTACCATATTTAATCGTAAAAAATAGAATACCATGGAAAGACAATAATTTCCACTCTCAGAACTTCCATTCAACAATGTACTAAAGGTCCTTTTTGTTGCATTTAAATAAGAAAAAAAAGTAAAAGGCATCCTGATCAGATACTGGAAAGTAAAACTATTAGCAGTTAAAATGATCACGTATATACAAAATATAAGGAATCCGCTAATAGTATTATAATTAATAGTGAGTTCAGAAAGTTTTCAGAATATAAGATCAATGTACAAAAAAACAACTGTAGCTCTATACATCAGCAAATATACAATCTGAAAATGAAATTTAAAAATGATTTTATTTACAAGAGCATCAGCAAAAATAGGAATAAAGTTAACAAAAGAATTGCAAGACTCATACAGTGAACTACAAAACGTTGTTGAAGAAAATTAAAGAAGAACTAAACAAATGGGAAAACACCCATATCATGGAATAAAAGACTTCTTGAAAACTACTGAGAGTAGATTTTGTGTTCTCATCACAATAGTTATAACTTTGTGAATTAATGTATATGTTAATTAGCTAAATTTAGCCATTCCACAATGTGCATGTGTATATATTTTTAAACATCATATTGAACACAAGAAATGCATACAATTTTATCTGTCAGTTAAAAAAGCAAAATAAAAGTAAAAGGAAAGACTACAGTTAAATGGGCAATACTGCTGAAACTTCCTACAGATTCAACATAATGGTTATGAAATCTCAACTGGCATTTTTTTTTTTTTTAGAAATTGGCAAGCTAATCATAAAATTTATATATATATGTGTGTGCGTGTGTGTGTGTGAGCAAAGAACTCAGAATAGGTAAAAACATTTTTTAAAATGTAAGAGGATTCATAATTTTTGATTTCCAAATTTATTAGAAATCCAAAATATTCATGACAGTGTTACATTGACATAAGTAGAGACATATAGATTGAGAATATTTTTTTAAAATTCATAAATAAACTTTAAATTTACGACAGATAATTTTCAACAAGGTTGCCATGACATGTCAATGTGTAAAAAGCAGTCTTTACAACAAATCGCACTGGGAAAACTGCGTATCAATGGGTAAAAGAATGTGTGGGTCCTCAGCACTTCATATCAGAAATAACTCAAAATAGATTAAGACCTACATACATAACCTAAAATTATAAACCAATTATAAGACAACACAGAATTAAATCTTCCTGGTGGGTCTTGGGTAAGGCAATCATTCTTCAATGTGAAAAAAACCATGAGTGACAAAAGATAAAGTAGATAAATTGAATTTCCTTGAAATTAAAAATGTTTCTACTTCAAAGTACGCTATCAAGGCAGTGAAAAGACAACCTCCAAAATGAAAGAAAAGATTAGCAAATTGTAGTTCTAATGGGTGACTTATAAGTCAATATTATATAAAAGACTTTTACAATTCAGCAATAAGATAAATAACACAAATAAAACTGACAATTTAAATAAACAATTTTCTAAAGAAGGTAAACAAATTAACAATAAGTACAAAAAAGGATACTCAGACTTATTAGTCACCTGAATAATGCAAGCCAAATAAGAATAAGGTTTACTTATTTATTATTTCTTTACCTCCAGCAAATGGCTAAAATGAAATGGCAAACAATGATAAGTATCAGCAAAGATGTAGAAAAATGAGCTGAGTGAAGACAAACTCTCATTCATTGATGGTGTATGAAATGGTACAACCTCTTTGGAAACAGTTTTTCAGTTCCTCACATTGTCTATGTGTAATAGAGCTACCATAGCTCAGCCAGTTTGACTCCTAGTTATATAACCAAAAGAACTAACAATGTGTGTTCACAAAAAATTACACATTAATGATCATAGTGGCATTACTCACAATAGCCAAAAAATGTTAAAAATCCGCATGTCCATTGACCGATTAATGCATAAACAGAACGTGGCATATCCAAACAGTGAAATATTATTTGGCTATAAAGAGGAATTGAGTAACAACACAGGTTAAATATGAATGAACCTTGAAAATATCATGTTACATGAAGTAAAACAGTTATAAAAGACCTATATGATTTCATTTATGTGTATTGTCTAGAAAAGGACACTGCAGTTCAGATTCTCCCTCTTCCCAGTTCTTTTTGTCTCACCTTTCACCCTTCAAATCTTCCCTCCTGCATGCAAAGTCTCAGAGTCATTCCCAGGTTACCCAACTGTCTCATTGATTCACTTTTTCAGAATAAATAAATAGGAAGTACGCTCATAATTTATACAGTAAAATAGTCTGCTACCTTTGTCTGTGATTTAATCTCAGAGATAAGACAATATGGTAAAGTACAGCACTGTATGGTGCATGATAGTAACACTACAATGATATTATATAAAAGTAGTTTTAGTGCATACAAAATTGGAAATATTCTAGTTTATGACTCAGTTAAAAAACATTAGAGGTAAAAAAATAAAGAGAAGAAAAAGACGAAGGAAGAAATATTGAATGCAAAGGAAAGAAATGGAAGATGAGAGAGAGGCAATGTGGGAAAGAAGAAAGCAAAGAAACCGGAAAGGAAAGGAAGGAGGAGAGAAGGAAGAAAAGAGGATGGGAGGGAAGGTAGGAAGGAAAATAGGTAAATGCAAAATACTCAAAGACTTTGTTTTGGTTTGATTTAGTTTGGTGTTTGGCTCAGGTTAAAATTTTTCTCTATTTGTTAATTAGGCACCAGCAGAAAGACAATGAATTATATCTCCAGGTATCTGAAGAAATCATTAAGGAAATAATGCAAAAATAAGAATGTCACAATAGCTAAAAGACAGATTAATGTGCTGCAAGTCAACAAATCCACAAGATTTGGGTTATTATTTCTATAAGCCAAAAACTGTTTTAACATCATTTTTTCAATATGTTAGTGTCTAATTTCTTTAGGCTGAAAACATAATTCAAACAAATATTTATCTCTTGAGAGAATTATAGGAGTGTGAAGTGAGCTTAGAAGAATTTACCTCGAATATTAAGAAATCAGTTATTTTGTCTTATGTTCATGTTTCAGTAAATTATTTCTTTGTAATAAGAAAGTGAATAAAAGAAAAAAAAAGGATAGAAAAGGAAATAATAAGTACCTGGAAATTTTGGAAGGATAGTCAATTACCTCAAATTTTAATTGTGTGATGTAAAACTTATTAGGGGAGCATAGGCTTTCTAAACAGAAGTTAACACTTTTCTAATGATTTAATATTCAATGAAATAAACAGTCCTAAAATTTGTCCTGTGACTGTGAGTACTTTTTATAAAAGCAGTGTTGCCTCCTTCTGGGATAGTCCAATATATGAGCTTAAGATTTGTTCTTTTGAGTTTTGTACTTTGACCTAGACACATGGTACATGTTTTACCAATATTATAAATTTAGTGCTCACACATTGCTAAGAGATAATTTCTACCTTGCATTATCAATATGAAATCTGAGGCTCAGAGAGTTTTTGTTGGGAATGGTTCTTGATTACCATGCCTTTAATCTCATTATTACACTGGTTCTTGAAAGGACATTTGTGCCTGATAACCCCCACTATGGAAAAAGACAAATAAAACAAAAAACACATGAAACTATAATCAGTTGTTCATGTGGCAATCTGTGGATATTTAAAGAAAATGTCTAGATCTCCTCCCCCCAGGAAAATCTTTGTACTCTGTGCTGTAAACCAGCCTACTTGCCAGCCAATATCGTACAGTTTTTTGTTGTCATTTGTTTTGTTTTGCTTTTGAGGCGGAGTTTTGCTCTGTCACTCGGGCTGGAATGCAGTGGCACAATCTTGGCTCACTGCACCCTCCAGCTCCCAGGTTCAAGTGATTCTCCTGCCTCAGCCTCTTAAGTAGCTGGAATTACAGGTGCGTACCACCACACCCAGCTAATTATTATTATTATTATTATTATTATTATTATTCTTCTGTACTTTTAGTAGAGAGGGGATTTTGCCATGTTGGCTAGGCTGATCTCAAACTTCTGGCCTCAACTGAACCACTTGCATTGGCCTTCCCATATTCTGGGTGTCATACAGTTTTAAGTTCTCATACTGTTCATGTCCCTGAGTGCCCTTCTTGTCCTCGTACACACACTTTCAAGTTTGTTAGTGTAACTCTTTGAGCATAGTATAAATATGGACATAGTATATTTGTTGTGACTGAAATATCATAGACTATAGATTAAATGCTTTGAGTATATGCAAATCCTGCAACACAGAACCTGAGAAAAATGTGGGCACAGAAAGGAATCTGTACTTGAATTACAATCTAAGCTTAAAATGATTGCATTATTATATGTCAGATAAAAATAAGGTATTGTTTTACTAAACTAATTTAAATGTTTAATTATGTCAGAACTTGAAAATCATATACCCTGCTTCCTCACAAAAGTGCTATAAGATACATCTGCTCATGTGCCTCTGGCAGCTGTGGCTGTGTATTTGCACTGCCACTGTAGGAATCTGATATTGTAATCTGAGTAAGGTACACGTTGAGCTTCTGGGAGCCCACCAGAACTGCCTCCCTGCAATATATTCTCTATAATTGGCGAATGTGTTGTGTCAGGAGCAGCTGAATTATTCAATTATTCCTTATCAGCTCTCTCTAAAAGGCTGATCTTACACCTGATGACATTACTGACAGTTCAGGAAAAAGATCGGTGAGGTCAAGCAAGTGCCTTGCTCCTGATAATATGAAGCCTACGTGTCCTTCAGCCTGTACTTTGGTATTCTGGCTTAGAAATTCTGAATAGTGTTAATCTTCAAAGTCCAACATATCTGCAATATAGTGTAGCTCGTTTCATTACTCAAGGATGAGCACTTTATGTTTCCAAATGACAGCAAACTTTTATTGAGCTTAGTCTTAAGACTGTTTTAAGTGCTTTCAATGGAATTCTTTCTATAATGTTTTCATACCTTTACGAGGTAATGTGGTGGCCACAAGAGTGCACCTCATAAACTCCCAACTACAGAGAGCATAGTTGATTCAGGGCCTAGCTGCTACAATTTGAAAAACATCTCGGAAATTATGTTATGTCTTCGCTTGTTTAGGGTGTTCCTGGCACTGATTGAGCCCAGCCAGGATACTACTGCAGACCCATTAGTGTGAGACTTCAGACACCTCTGACAGCTGTCTTTGGCTCGAAGACTCACCAATGGCCTTGCGGCAAGTTTCCACTTTGCACAGATGTTAATATACGTGCCCAATCTATTTTAATTTTTTTCTTCTCTCAGTGCCATCATTCAATTGTTTAGATGACTGCCCCCAAAAACTTATAGTTTCTAACTTCCTTGCATGTTTAAATCATGTCGGTATCTGCTTCTTTGATTAATCAAACCAGTACAAGCATACACTACTATTAGTCCAAATTTTATATCATAGTGGAAATTAGGATAAATAATCTGTCCAAGATCATTGACTTAGGAAGTTACAGATCTGGGTTTGCATTAAATGTTCTAAAGTAGAATCTTCTTAAGCCTGATCAACTTAGTCATTGCAATAGTAAGTTCTAGAAAACAGTACATGTTAGTTAAACCTCAGAATCTCAACATAGATTGAAAGCTTTTGCATCTCCTACACAGAGTTAGGGCTTTCAGTGATCACATGTCGACAGGAAGACTTCATGTGTGTAAAAGGAGTCTGTAATTTTAATGTATTGAATACAGGGCATATATAGTCATTTAGGCTTATTTAAGATAGGTGTGTCTTTAGGTATTTATTTATTTAAATATCCCTTTAAAAATATTTGAATTGCAACTCTATTTAGTAAATACATCATTTAGACAAATTTATAGTTTACTAATTTACAAGATATTTAAAATTTCTACTCATCATTGAAGTTTTCTTTTAAAATAAAATAATAACATCTGTTCATTACTTTTTAAAATATTTACTTTTAATTAATTAATTAATATTTTGAGACTGGGTCTCCCTGTTACTCAACCTGGAGTGCAGTGGTGGGATCACAGCTCACTGCTACCTTGACCACCAGGGGTCACACCATCCACCCACCTCAGCCTCTCAAGTAGCTGGAACCACAGCTATGTGCACCATGCCTGGCTAATTTTTTAATTTTTAATTTTTTTGTAGAGAGTGGTCTCACTATGTTGTCCAGGCTGATCTCAAACTCCTGAGCTCAAGTGATTCTTTAACCTCAGCCACCTAAAATGCTGGAATTACAGGCGCGAGACACTCAGACCACCTGTTCTGTTCCTTTTTGTTACCGAATTAAAAGAAAGACAAACTTATTAGGGTGCTCACCCAATGCATATTAAAAATTTCCAAATGGTTGTAATGTAAAAGATACTTTTCCTTCAAGATAGTCAACTTCAAAAAAAAGAAGTAACTTTTATTATGAGTTTATGCTTATGAGAGCACGTTCGGAGAGCCACAGAACTACGGTAATGTCAGTGATTTAAGAGGAACCGTAGAAGAGGTATTGTGTTTTAACTAAATATTCTTTAGATCAGTTATGCTCATAACCCGTCAGATCCCTCACCAAAAATTTTTATGGGTATTATGCTATAGGGACATTTGTTATACATTACTTCTTCTGACTAGCACTCCCCTAAATAACTGGAGAAATACTGCTCTGAACTAGAGTGTAAATTTTAAATGAGAAAAAATGCTCATTGAAAAGAAACATTTACAACGTTTAAATGAGAATATATGTTCGTTGAAAAGAAACATTTAACTTTTATTTATCAATATTGTCAATTTCGTATATTAATTATAGTGATCTGTAAAATCAATACTTTTTTAAAAAAATAAAATGGTATTCAGACTAAGGGATTCATGATCTGGGAACTACATTAAATATTTAGTGGATGAGTGAGGATTACAGCAAGGATAATTGGAGACATTAGTCATTTCGCTGGCAAGATCTGATTGAAACATGAAAATAAATAATATGTTTTCCTTTCTTTTACCTTCAATGTTTAATCACTTTAACAAATTTTGTAATTACCTGAAGCTTAATACTAGAAAACAAAAACAAATATAAGAACAAAAATAAAATGTAGGGAGGAAACCTGAAAGCTATTCACACAAAGCTAGACCATTAGTAGGCTGAATAAAAAACTCACAGTAAACTTTTATCAAACATCTTCTCGTGCATTGACAATAACTGTGGAATCTTTGACAAGGTAGTGCTCTTTTGAAAAAGATGTTCTCATATTTATTTACAGTTGATTGCCATTTTATTGCTTTAATGTATTTTTGTCTTTCTTCACGGGTGAATGACCTGAGTTACTTGGAGAGCAATAGTGTTCGCATTTGTACTCCTCAGCACTTAAAAACTATAAGCATATCTGAGTCCATTAGCAAGCTTCGATTTATGGCTTCTGAGACTATATTATTTTCAACAAATGATGTTGGATAAAAATCTATGAATTTACATAATGGAATCTATAAATGTAATGGATTAACTACATTAATGTATTTGTTGTAGTAATTTGATTTTTCCTTTTAGATGAAAAAAATGTTTTAAATTTTCCTTTAAAAGATATTATTAATCATATTGACTTTGTGGCTAAACATCCTGTCAGATCAATTTACCATTGAAGATAAATATGTCTTATATTTGAGACTCAAAGGTAAAAAAGCCGTAAGCATTTCTAAAAGATTGCTTTGAATATAAACAGATATGTAGTGTATAAAATACATCAATGGGAAGTAAAAAAAAAGGCATACTACATCATCTGTAACAACTGAAACAAAAAGTAATATAATAATAAATCCAAAATGAAAATATAATATGTATACACAGTCTTATAAGAGCATTACTGGCCTTATATTTTTTACATTTGGGAACAAAAACATAACTTCAAAGGTAAAAGGCAATGTTTTTAATAAATGAGGTTGAAAAATAAAAATTTATTGGCTTTATTGCTGTCTAGTTTTGCAATAGCCTATCTGTTTCATAATATCATTTCCTTTGAAACTATATTAATTTAATTTTAGTTATCTGAATTCTAGGAAACATATTTTCCCTGATAAATAGTTATAGATATCTGAATGTTAGGAAACTATATATATACACACATATATATGACTTTGAGTTTGTAAATGGCTAATTAAACACATAAGATTACTTCTTTATTGGTCAACATTGAAAAATTATGAAATAATATAAAAATAAAATTAAAATGCAGCAATGCAGAAAAGAAAAGTGAGGCAGCAACATACCCAAATATTTAGGAGGTTCTGCATGGCATACAAAGAATAAAAGTTTTACAATAAAATTCAACGGAGCTGAGAAAAACACAAGCACATTCAGATGAAAATGAGAATCTCAAAAATTGCCAGTTTTTTCCTAGTATGTCTCCAAATATGGAGGTATTGGAAGTTAGGGAGTGTGGACTATACAGGTAATTAATTACAGAACAGAAGAACAGCTTTAGTGGACCAATGCTCTCAGAAAAAGTGTTTTCTGATTTAAATACATGAAAAGCTCTTTCAGGTAAAATTTATAACAAAATGATGTTGAGACTAAAGAATATAATAGTTTCCAAGGTAACTTAAACCACCAATGGAGAGAAGAAACTTAAAATTCCAAATGTACACTAAAAATACAGACAAATATAAATAAATAATATGTATTTATTTTCTATTACTTCAAAATTAATTACCACAAATGTAGTGGCTTCAAATAACATCTGCTTGTTATATCACATTTCTGCAAGGTAGAAGTCAAAATGGCTCTGCTCAGCCTAGGGTCTCATGAGGTAAAATCAGTATGTCACCAGCCTGGCCGATTCTCAAGTCTCTGGAGGACAGTCCACATCCATTCATTCTGGTTTATGGCAGAATCCATTTTGCTAATCCAGAAATTAGCAGAATGAAATACATACATACATACATACATACATACATACATACATACATACATGTTAATAATCAGACTGTTTATGTAAAAGAGTAAATAAATAAATAGAATCAAAGAGAAATTACAGATAAATAAAACAATCTCATCTGTAAATAGCCAAAACTTTTATAAATTAAATATACTTGTGACATACACACACACACACAGAGACTCAATGAAACATAAAAGAAAGCAGCTGAAATCCAAATATGTTGAGATCAGAGAACAAG
Source organism: Homo sapiens (assembly GCF_000001405.40). NCBI lineage: Eukaryota > Metazoa > Chordata > Mammalia > Primates > Hominidae > Homo > Homo sapiens. The sequence goes on from NC_000005.10 coordinate 26,028,084, forward strand.
TCAATAGATTATTTTAGAATTAATGATAAACTAAAAATGGAAAGTAAATAGTATTTAAAATAGCTGGAAGTTCCCACTAATCCAACAGAGATTTCAGAATGTGAGAAATATAATGTAATTGAAGAAGTGTGAGAATAAATTGAAAAGATACACAGCAAATAGAAAAGTAATAAAATCCCATTGATGAAGGAATACTTAAACCTTTAGGCTGAAAAACTCACGTGGTGACAATACAATAAAATAACTAATACTATTTATATTTTGAGAAAATATTTTCTCTCAGAATAATACCAATCTTATAAACTTTTGCAATCAAGCACACAAAAAGCAGTCAACACTGGTTGTCTAAAAGGTCAATAGAATAAGGTCAGCAAAAGAGTCTCATTTGTAATAAAAGATGATAATAGGAAAAAAGTCAGCATTTTAATGTTTTAGAAATATTCTAAATTTAGAAAAAAAACACTTAGAAAAATGTTTTTATTTAGAATTTTTAACAATAAAAGTGTTTTCAATTATTGAAAAATTTAGAAAGTTTAGGGCTCAATATATCTCTGGAAAATAAGACATTTGATCATTTATCCCAACAAATAATAAACTAAAATATAAAAAGAAGTAAGGCATTTTTTTTTTTTTTTTTTTTGAGACGGAGTCTCGCTCTGTCGCCCAGGCCGGACTGCGGACTGCAGTGGCGCAGTCTCGGCTCACTGCAAGCTCCGCTTCCCGGGTTCACGCCATTCTCCTGCCTCAGCCTCCCGAGTAGCTGGGACTACAGGCGCCCGCCACCGCGCCCGGCTAATTTTTTGTATTTTTAGTAGAGACGGGGTTTCACCTTGTTAGCCAGGATGGTCTCGATCTCCTGACGTCATGATCCACCCGCCTCGGCCTCCCAAAGTGCTGGGATTACAGGCGTGAGCCACCGCGCCCGGCCCGAAGTAAGGCATTTGACATAGAACAAAATTTGAATAATATAAAACTGTATAGGATATAAACTTTTATATTTATTAATAAGATTTCTTCTTAAGGTGGTAGTTGAGACAAGGTTCTTTGAAAATGTAATAGTATTATATATACAATTTATATATACGTAGTATATATACAATGTATATATACACATTATACATACATACTTATATATATACATTATATATACATACACATGCATCATACATACATACATATATACATTATACATACATATATACATTATATGCACATATATGCATAGTATATACATATATACATTATATATGTTATACATTATATATACATGTATATATTATATATGTTATACATTATATATACATATATACATACATCTATACACACACATATATGTATATATAATTTTTGAGATCGAGTCTCACTCTGTCTCCCCAGGCTGGAGGGCAGTACCATCATTGCAGCTCACTGCAACCTCCACCTCCCAGGTTAAAATGATTCTCTTGCCTCAGCCTCCTGAGTAGCTGGGACTACAGGCACACTCCACCACACTCCGCTAATTTTTGTATTTTTAGTAGAGATGGGTTCTCACCATGTTGGCCAGGCTGGTCTTGAACTCCTGACCTCAGGTGAGCCACCCTTCTCAACCTCCCACAGTACTGGGATTACAGGCATGAGCTACCATGCCCGGCCATAATAACATATGAAGTGATACTCACATACATTCAAAATTATATCTACTTCAGCAAAACACAGGAAGCAGTGATACAGTCAAGAGAAAGCCATTAAATTATGCCTAATAATAATTTCTCATGGGTCTGGGTTTTAATTATTGCCTAAGTGTAGACATCAATAGCTTAAAATTTTGCTTACTTAAAAAATGTGGCTGGGCATGGTGGCTCACACCTGTAATCCCAACGCTTTGGGAGGCCAATCACGAGGTCGAGAGATCAAGACCATCTTGGCCAACATGGTGAAACTCCGTCTCTACCAAAAATACAAAAATTAGCTGGGTGAGGTGGTGCATGCCTGTAATCCCAGATACTCAGGAGACTGAGGCACGAGAATCGCTTGAACCCAGGAGGTGGAGTTTGCAGTGAGACGAGATCGCGCCACTGCACTCTAGCCTGGCCACAGAGCAAGACTCTGTCTAAAAAAGAAAAAAAAAAAGCTTAATATTAAAATAATTAAGGGAATGAATTCAGAGAATCAATTAAGTAATTGAGGGCATAATATTGGCCTCCAACTTGAGCAGAACCTAGCCAGTTCTTTATGTGGAAGGTGCCTGAAAACCACCCTGTGTGACGCAATAAGAAGAACATTAAGCTATTGATCAAGCAGACTGTGGAAAGGTGAATGCAGAAGTCATTTGTCATCCTTGGCATTGTGTTAATGGAAGTTTTGTCTACACGAAGAGGACAGACATTGTTCTACCAGAGTAAGGGAAGAACTGGATATCTGAGAGCTAGTCCCGGAACGTGTCCTTTGGTTTCTAGGTCTCAAAGAAGAGTAAATGTTATTCATGAATGCCTTAAACCGGAAGTGCGTAAACGGCATGTGTGAGTGTGTGTGTTTTCCCAGACCACGCAGCATGAAAGCTATTGTTTCTGCTTTTAAAAACGTAGTAGAAATCGGTATCTATAGAGACCTAACTGCCTGCTATGCTTACAAATATTCATATATTTTGAACCCATGATTTCTAAATTGGTATGGTAATTTATAGAATTATAAATGCTAACCAATCTCTTATCATGGTAAAAGGCCACCTTCAGCAAATGTATATACTAAAGAGGATAGCTAAAAGTTGGTGGAATAACACAGATAATCGCATTGTGCAAAAGCATTATTCCTTACTACCCTTTAAATTGAGAAGAAGAAACATACCTGGCTTTTACATTTTCTGGTTAAATAAAATATCATATTTTGGGCTATCTCCAAGATAGCTAACAGATGTGAGGATTATAATAATTGGAGAGTCATGTAAGATCTGGCTGCCATAAATGTCACTGAACAGCTTTTACAACATTATGATAAAATTATATGGCTATACTGTCTAGAGAGACAGTGGTCACCAAATGTGGGTTTTAAAATAGAGAGTAGAGTTTGGCAAGTGGTGGAAAGGGAAGCCCCAAATTCTTCTTTCTCCATGGACACACTGACTCAACAACAATACATGGACTAATTCACTTTGTGAGAAATCTAGAAACCAATTAGGAGAGGCGTCTCCACCTCAGGGAAAAAAACAGCTGCATTCCAGTTGGTAGGAAAATTTGTCACACATACTCATCATCGTTCCTCCTCATGGCTCAGCACAGCAAAACAGGGAGAAAACTCCCAGCTCCTGGCTTCCCCCTTTGAAGGGAATTAGGAGACTGAAACGTCCATTCAATGTATAGACATTTCAGCGGACCCCCTAAAAGATTGGTTTTTGTCTTGCCTGAATCTAAGCATTAATGAAAAAGGACACGATGTTGCAGATCACTGAGAACAAAGGGGTGGTTTGGACTAGTCCAGCACTCACTTGCTATATAGTCCATTTCCCAAGCTCAGCTCAGAATGAGCAAGAGAAAACCCCAACCCTCGGCATCTCCCTGCAGAGGGAAAGAGTTGGAGACTGTGATCAATACTCTGGGTTTCAGAGGGATGCCTGAAGGTCTGGTTTATGTCTCACCTGTCTTGGAGAACTGATAAGACCTGCATACTTTAGAGTCCTGGAGGCCACTAAAAACAAAAGAGAAAAGCTTGCCCCTGCTCCAGGCAACCAACACATGGTATGGTCAGCAGATTATGGTACAGCTCAGTGGCTTATGTCTTAGGAGTCAAAAAGAAGAGTGGAACAGTGGTCCACGTTCTGGCTCTTCAGGAGGCTTCCCAAGGGACTGATTTCTGCCTCATGTGATGCAGAACCCTGAAGAGATACTGCATAATCTAGAAGTCTGGAAGGACCTGAGGTCATAATAAAACTGGGAAGCTTGAGGCAGCTCGATAGAACCTGCACTACCCCAAACAGACACCAGAAAGGACAAGAGATTATTAAACCCTTGAAAAAAGAAACTGACAAACCCCTCTAACTGGGAATTTATATGCACAATTTAGAAAAGACACATCTGCAGAAAATGTTTGAGTATGTACCAAAATCTCCAGCCCAGCTGACTAGTGAAGGTGTTTCCATGGATAAAACCCATCCATAAAAACAAGATAAATGGCTACTTTTTCAAATATGAAGTTCCCAACACAAAGTTACAAGGCACACAAAAAGAAGCAAAGAAACATAGTCCTATCAAATAAACAAAACAAATCTCCAGAAAGTGATCCTAAAGAAACAGAGGTGTATGAATTACCTGATAGTTCATTAAAATAGTCATAATAAAGATCATCAACAAGCCAAGGAAAACAATAGATGGACTGAGATTTCAGGTGCTAATCTTGTGGCTGGAGACAATTAGTGGTGTTCTATGTGGACTAAACCTTACTAGCTTGAATATAAAAATAATAATAATGGAAGGTAGCATGTTATTTTGTATACATTTTTTGAAAGAAACATTGAAATTTGGACAAATTAAGCAGCCCTTCTTATCTTCATTTTGACAAAGTGTTGCTGTAAACCATGTATAACAGCTTGCAGGAGCATAGGCTACTTTGTACAAACATTAGAAGTACTGAAAAATAGGCCAGGCACGGTGGCTCACGCCTGTATTCCCAGCCCTTTGGGAGGCTGAGGCAGGCAGATCGCCTGAACTCAGGCATTGGAAACCAGAGTGGGCAACACGGTGAAACCCTGTCTCTACTAAAATACAAAATATTAGCCGGGCATGGCGGTGTGCGCCTGTGGTCCCAGCTACTCAGGAGGCTGAGGCAGGAGAATTGCTTGAACCTGGGAAGGGGAGGTTGCAGTGAGCTGAGATCAAGCCACTGCACTCCAGCCTAGGTGACAGAGTGAGACTCGGTCTCCAAAAAAAAAAAAAAAGAAGTACTGAAAAATGCCCTGAGGCAGTGTACCTTCTTCATTAAAACTCGAATTAAAAATGTCAAAATTAACTTGTAACTCCTTTAAAATTATATACTTTTTACTTGCTATCCCAAACTACTATGTGAATTAAGAGGTCAAATATATGTGTGTGGCCTGATTATTATTATTTTTTATCAGCATGATAGGATATATTTTCCACAACAAATTTATTACAGCTGGTGTAACAGTGAAAATATAAATGACACTACATTTCTGGAATTACATAAGAAGATAACATTAAGGAATATAATAAAAATCTTTATCAGTATTAATGGAAATAGCAATATTCAGACGTAATAGCAAGGTCTCTGATCATCCATGAAATAGCAAATTGTTTTTGTGCTTCTAATTAAATTTCATTCACATATTCTTATAAGTAACAGTACTTACTTTCTAACTCACCTTCAAAAGAAAGAAACTCTGAGAATATTTAACATATGGACCTGATCAATTAATCAAAGCATACTTTTGTGCCAACTTTCCATAGTTATTCACTACATGGCGCTTCAGTTCCCCCAGTATTGATCATGTTATAAGATTGTTGTAAGAATTTGTGAGTTTTTTGTAAAGTGTGTAGTGAGCTTCAGAGTTGCTCCAAACTCAAACGTTATTACTATAATGTATTTTATATGTTAAAAATTGTCCTTATACATTATTATCTGTGATGTATGGAAAATTTGTAAAAATGCATAAGATTGAGAGTGTTGGTAACCATTAAATATAAAGTGATCAACAAAGTACATAAATACACAATCATGGAAATAATAAAAATATATAACAAATATAAAGCATATGCTTATTTTTATATTCTGATAAGATGGAATGTTTATAAATTGAAAACATGTTTTAAAATATGCTGTACATGTATGAGGAGTTTAAAATATAGACACAGTTCTTCATCTTTGACAGAGTAAGCCAATAGTAGAGCATTGTTTCTAATGAGAAATGGACAAATATACCATACATACATTTTTTCCAGCAGAAATTGTGCAAAAGGATTAAAAACAGTGATTGTCAACCTTATTCATTACTAAGAATATTTTCATCTTATGAAATAAGTACAAAATTAAAGTATTTATTTATTATTTTTGTAGAGACAGGGTCTATGTTGCCCAGGATGGTTTTGAACTCCTGGCTTTGAGTGATCTTCTTGCCTTGTCCACCCAAAGTGCTGGGATTACAGTCATGAGCCACAACGCCTGGCCTTTATGGTCATGTTTTAAAAGCGTATTTACTACTTTGCAATGTTACCATATACTGTTAAGTAGAAAAACAGGCTACACAACTAAACTCAAATTTTATGAGGAAATACATTTGCATTCATACCCTTTATATCTCCTGTAGCCAAAGACATTCTTCTTGGTATGTCTCTTTCTGAAGCAGAGCCTGCCTAGAATGCATCATATATCACTGTTCTCTATCTATCTGACTCATTTGCTTTGTCTGTGACTTTCGCTGCTCTAGGTTTGCAGATCCCAATAAAGCGTTGCCAGTTTATATCTCCTATCTCTTTCTCTACCTCTCACTCTCTTTTGTTCTTTCTGTTGTGCGCGCGCGCGCGCGCGCGCACACACACACACACACACACACACACACACACAGAAAATGATTGGAAAAAAATTTACTAAAGACATGAGTATTTGACCCTAGGCTTTATTTTCTTATTATTTAAAAAAATAGTTGTGAACATTTTGAATATACTATTTCTATGTAGAGGACTATATTACATTTTAATGTAATATATTGTAATACTTGTCAAATTTAAAGAACTAGAAGGCTTAAAATAGGCTACATATCTAAAATAATCAGAAAAGGGGAGACACACAAAAACACAGAAACTATCAAATGAACTCCAAATCACACTGTTTTTGACCCTAAAGAAAAGCTCAAGTGGTAATGCTTTCTTGAGAGTTGCAAACCTAGAGCAGTGACTGTCTTAGACAAAGGATATGAGTCAGGGATGGATAGGGAGCAGTGGTACATGTTGCATTCCAGGTAACCACTGCTTCAGAAAGAGACGTAGCAGTACTCTTCAGCCAAGCTGGTTGTCTTTGGTCAAAAGCAGAGAAACAAGGTGTGCCCCTTTTCTTTGGAGAGCAGAATGAAGAAGATACTTTTTAAAGTTTCTTTCTATCTCCTACCTCTATCGGTCAGTATGATCATCAGGGAGTTGATGTTTCTGCAATTTTGTGTCATATCAGTTTCCCTTTATAGCTGCTGGGAAGTTACACCCTGGTCCTTGCATGTGGTGCATCATCAGATTCTGCAAATCATTGGAGTATCCAGACTTGGAGCGATGACCCTACATAAAGGAAGCAGGTAGACCCGAAATTAAAGGTCACCTAATGGGAAAAGAGTCAGAATAAATTAAGACAAGGTAATTTAAGGCAGTGCTTATATGACTCTAATACATACACAAAAGTCAAATATTTCAGCTAAAACATGAAGCTACAAAGAAAGAGAGAGCTTCTTGGCCATAATGCTATAATTTTTTTTTTTTTTTTTTGAGACGGAGTCTCGCTCTGTCGCCCAGGCTGGAGTGTGGAGTGCAGTGGCGCGATCTCGGCTCAGTGCAAGTTCAGCCTCCCGGGTTCACGCTATTCTCCTGCTTCAGCCTCCCGAGTAGCTGGGACTACAGGCGCCCGCCACCATGCCCGGCTAATTTTTTCTATTTCAGTAGAGACGGGGTTTCACCGTGTTAGCCAGGATGGTCTCGATCTCCTGACCTCGTGATCCGCCCGCCTCGTCCTTCCAAAGTTCTGGGATTACAGGCGTGAGCCACCGCGCCAGGCCCATAAAGCTGTAATCTTTAACCATAATACAAGAGTAGAGAATGAACATTGAAAAAATGTCTCAAACTGGATTAAAAACACTGCATTATATTTTTCTTGCATAGCTATAAAGAAAAACCTGAGACTGGGTAATTTATAAAGCAAAGAGATTGCAGTGGCTCACATTTCTGTAGGCTGTATAGGAAGCACGGTGGCATCTGCTTCTGGGGAGGCCTCAGGAAGCTTACAATCATGGTGTAAGGTGAAGGGGAAGCAGACACATCACATGGCAAAATCGAGAGCAAGAAAGAGAGGGGTGGGGGTGCCACACACTTTTTAATGACCCGATCTCGCAAAAACTCACCCACTATCACAAGGACAGACCCAAGAAGATGGTACTAAGCTATTCAAGAGAAATCCACCCCCATGATCCAATCACTTCCCACCAAACCCCACCTCCGACATTGGGGATCACAATTCAAAATGATATTTGGGTGGGGACACAGATCCACACCATATAAAAACCCCTTCTACATAACTTTCCTGTCAAAGGATAACCAGTAAAGGAACATAAATATAGTGATTGGGAAAGTTTGATCAATAAGACCTATTAGGGTTTATTAATTATGTTTATTAATAAATATTATTAATTTTATTTTAAATTTTATTTAATTAATATTAATAAATAATATTAATTAGGTTTCTTAATAAACCCTACTAAGTTTTATTGATCAATCTTCCCCAATTAATTAATATAACCCTAATATATGTTATATTATGGTTTATTAAGGTTTATTAGTTAGGTTTATTAATACATCCTAATATAATATATATTAGTTTATTAATATATATAAATAAACCCTAATATAAAAACAGGCTGGCTATTCAGGGATAGCAGTTCAATAATCTTCCTTGGTGTGATTTCTTTCATGTTTCTTGTGCTTGGTGTTCTTTGAGAGTTCCAGAGAATACATTTGAATTTGTAGCTTTGATCAAATTTGGACAATTTTGGCCATTATTCCTTTAAATAATTTTTCTGCCTCCCCCTCTAATGTCCCCATTTGAGAATCCAATTGTAAATGCACATTAGGCCATTTGAAGACATGGCCCACTGCTCATGGATTCTCTGTTTATTATTCTCCATTCTTCTTTTGGTGATGAATTTTGGATGGGCTTCTCTTGCCGCATCATTATGATAGCTCATTTTCTGTGGTTTATTATTTGCTGTTAATCTGAAGCGGTGTATTTCTCACCTCAAATATTGCAGTTTTTATCTCTAGCAATTGTATGTGTTTCATATGTATCTTCCAGATCTATACTGATCATGCTCAACTTCCATCCAGTTTGAACAAATCAGACAAGACTAGACATTTTAACATGTTTCACTTTGAGTCTGTGTCAAATTATTTACATTTTTCCTCATATGGGTTATATTTTTTGGCTTTTTTGCATGCCAGATAAGTTATTATTAGATGGTAAATATTGTAAATTCTTCCTGGTTAGATGCAGAATATTTCTGTATCCCCGTAAGTACTATGGAGCTTTGTTCTGCCATGTGGTTAAGTTGCTTGGAAACATTCATTTGAGTTGAGGCTTGCTTTTAAAGTTTTTTAGGTGATTCCACAACAGACTGTCATCTAGGGCTATTCACTTCAGCTGAAGTAAGATCCTTCTGAATGCTCTATCTAATGACCATGAATCATGAGCATTTTAAAATCCTTTCTAATCCTGATGAGGGCGGTTCTTTCCATCGCCCAGGGTCGTTTCCTCACATTCCTGGATTGATCTGTACACTGCTGAATACTTGATGGGAACCCTCTATGAATCTTTGGATATTTCTCTCTGTGTATGTCTCTCTTTTCTGGCACTCTGCCTTGCAACTTTTAAGTATATTGTTTTCCTATACTCAACCAATATCACCTCACCTCACTCAGCTCCAAACTGAATTCCTATCCAGGCTGTGTGCTCTGGAAATATTCACAGAGCATTAGGCTGGGGCAATTGTGGGGCTCACCTTGTTGTTTTCCATCTTTTAGAATTCACTGTCCTCCATTGCCTAGTAGACAATATCTTGAAACTATTGCAATTTTTCCTCTATTCTCTATTTTATATTATTTATTTTAGTGATCATAGAATTTAGACTGTCATGAAAGCCGAATAATGTGGCATATTTTTTAATCTCTAATAAAAATACTTTGACTGAAATGCATTTGTTAGCCCATTGCCCTTCATTAATACAGAAAATCTTGTTTTCCATAAAATAATATTGTCAATGTCATCATTCCTAAAATTTTTCCTATTCTCTTTATGTGGACCAATGGGAAGAATTTCACAAAGTATATCAGCATAACAAATAATGAATATTTGGACTCATTTCTGTAATTGGACCGGCGTTGGCATACATAATAATTTATGTGATTTTTTAACCTAAAACTATGGGTCTAAATGTGTAATTTGACAGCTCTGAAAGGGTAATTTCGCTAGTAATCTCTTAAATTTATCTTATTTCTTTAGTTACTATTGTCCTTTTGTCCAAATAGACCAAAATGGAGTGGTAGATAGGTAGGTATGTTGGTAGCTATCTGCCCTTTCCTGACTTTTCTAAACTGAATTATTTTGCTTGCCTGCTTCAATATTTCCCACTTGATACTTTTAGACATATTTAGTTCTATATAATTAATCTCTTGTATGCTCACCAATGGAATCTGCCAGAATTCTCCTACCCTAACAGATTTTTGGATTTGGCTTCCTTTACATAGCCATATCCTGCTGCTTCTCATCCCTATGTCTGACCGCGGCAGTGCCCTGAAAAGTTGTGCCAAATGATGAGCTGACGGGAGAATAATTAAAGTCATTCAATTATCAAGTGTTTATGGAAGATCAACTATGAGCCAGGAACTGTGCTGCATTATGGAGATACGACAGTGAACCTGACAGATACCAAATCTGCCTTCTCAAATATCTAGTGTCAGAATGCATTGCTTTGAATTTCCTCCAAGAAAGTCTAGCCAGAGTAAATGCAATAGACTCTTCTGACATAGGAAAAAGTACGACATGTTCTTTAATTGTTTTACCCTAAGTATCTCAAAAAATACAATGACAAAATTTACATCTAAGAACATAAATTGATATGTATAATAATGTTATTTTTAAACTTTTAATAATTTAAGCAACAAGCCTCTCATTCAAATGGATAATTTATTGGAAAGGAAATCAGGCACAGTTATTAGAAATAAATAACTTGTGATTACTCAAGTTTAAACAAAAATATTAATGTCACAGCTTCAGTAGATTGACTAATCATCATCTTAAACTATATAGAGATACAGGGGAGATGAAATGAAAATTGGAACAGATAGGTTTGAGGTAGGAGGAAGGCAGGCAGAAGAGTAAACGTAGACAGGCTATTATTAAGTTCTGGATTGCTGTAGGGTTGACAAGTTCAGAGAGTAATCTTAAAACTTTAGAATTCTGATAATTTATTTTTGTTCCTCAACTGAGAGGGAGATTCAAAAAGGAGGTATCAGAAAGTGAGGCAAAGTTTAAAATTTAACCTATTTTATTGGCCTTGGTAGAAAATATTATATATTTTTGACTAAAAAATAATAATACATTTGGATTTTATTTTACACTTAAACATCCACTTTCACAAATAATTACAAAAAATTATAATGTTCACAGTAACAGCTAACGATACTTATCTGCAAGGAAAGTAAAACAGAATATGATATCATGAAAAATAGTTCATTATATAAGTGGAATTAAATGTAATAGATGTATAACATCATATATTTCCATATGTATATTTAATTATGTACATTTCTATATATATGAAGATGTATATACTATTACATATATATTATATAGCATACAATTTATATATGAACAGATATGTTCCATTGTTCTAAAATACATATGTAATCATATAGTCTTAAATTTCCATTCTTCCCAAACCCACATGTAACCAACTCTCAGCCATTTGTTAATTCAATCACTGTTTATTGACCTATGATACTCCAGTTATTGTTTCTGGTTGTTAGACCGAGTGTTGAATAAGAATGAATCATCTCTATACTCATAGATCATGCATTATAGAAGGAAAGAGAGATGTAACACATGCACATAAATACCAATTAATAGCCTTTTATTTTGAACAAATGGGTGAAATGGGCAAAACAATATTCTCACTTTATTTTGAAATAGAGACTTTTTACTCATAATTTTTAAAGACTTCAAAGCAAATATTTTTAGAAATGACAATTATTTGTCTCTAAAGTTGGTGATACTCTTTGTGAAAGAAATAATTTTATTCCTCTATTAATTTAATATTGGTCTGCATCAGAATGTGCTTTTTTTCTAGTTCTTTTTTTATAAATATTTATCAAAAATATTAGATAACAAATGAACTTTTATTTTTCCATGTTCCTCTTATGACATAATGTTACAAGATTGAATATCATTGTCTTTGTTCCATGCAGTTTCCATTTCTGCCACTGAAGTTCTTAAGCAAAATAGCAAAGTACAAAATTGGTGATTGATTGGTTATCTGTTGGACATGATAAAATAAAGTTAGTCAAATGAGATGACACTCTTCCATGATGTTTTCTTGGTGTTTTTATTTTTTAAGAAAATGTGCACATTAAAAAATATACTTCACTGAATTACCTGAAATTAAGCACATGATTTGAACCACTAAAGATGAATGCATAAGAAAGTAATTGTTCCTGATGTTTAAACAATTTTATGCTGTGTTTTATAGCATTCAAACATGAGTTCTGGGAAAATAAAACAGGACTGGTGAGAGGAATCATGGTGCCGATAGACAGGAGTAAACTGATTCAAGTTATTGGGCAAAGATGCCCTCGATGCTAGAGATTTGGATTTGATAGACATAGTAATAAAAATAGAAATACAGTGGTATAAAATCTACCTAAAAGGGGCAAAATCAAGATTGCTGACTAGTTGCTGGTAGTGTGTGTCTTCTCCACAGAGAAGAGCCAGAAGAGTAAGCAGATACATTTTGAAAAAATCTTCTAGAAGAGAAAGCTTGGCTTCACGGGAAAAGGGACAGAAAACATCAGAATAAGGAAGGAGAGTTCAAGGCACCTTACCCAGCCAGGAAAATGCTGAGAGCTGGGAGAAGCTTCTGGACATGGGGAAACAGAAAGAAAGAAATCCCTAGAGGTCAAAAACTGGCTTTTATCATCTTGTATACGGGAGAAACCCTTAGACAAACCAAGCTTGCTAAAGATTGCACAGAGACATTGCTCCAGGTTGGGAACCCACACAGAATCCCACAGGCATCTGAGCCTGGAGCAGCCTCAGCTGGGACCCATCTTGAGAACTTAGTACTGGGGACCTATAGACACAGCTGCAGCTGCTGCACTGCCCCAAGGAGGGAGATGAATGAAGGCACACATCCACGCAGCCCTGGGTGGATACTTGCCATCCTGCTGAGCTGCTGTTGAGACTGAGATGTAAGCAACCATGCTACCCACAGTTTCTTCCATATACTGCTTGCCTAGGTGGTGCCTCACCCTCTCTAGCCGCAGGCTCAAGGCATCATTTGAGAGATTAATGCTAATCTGAACTCTGCCTTGGACTCAGTTCAGGTTGACATGACTGCAGCAATTGCCCAGCCAAGGACTGAGAGGGAAACCAGGCTACTACACACATATCTAGGACAATACTCACTGCCCTGCAATGGGCTGCTGTGAGACTGAGATGTGATCAGATCACAATACCCACAATGTCTTGCCTACACTGCCTGCCTAAGCAGCATCCCTCCCCAGCTGGTTGCAGGCCCAAGGTGTGATTTTGAGAGTTTAATTCTGAGCTGCACCCCACCCTTGGCCTGAGTTTGGGCTGATGTGGATGCAGATGCCAGCCAGCCAAGGAGGGGCAGGGAACCTCGGTGTTTCCATGCATACCTAGGGCAATATCTAATGCCCTGGTAGGGTCTGCTGTGAGACCAAGACTAGAACAGACTGCACTCCCCGCAGTTTCCTGACCAAGTTGCTTACCTGAGAGGGGTGCCACCCTTTCTGGTCATAAACCCAAAGTAGGCATTATTTTGAGAGTTTGGAGCCATTGTTTGGCTACGTGCCAGTGGTGAACACAGCAAGTCATTTAGTTTTGGGCCAGAGATGGGAATACTTGCTCTGGAATGGGAGAAAGGCACCCACATCTGGAATTAAGTGGAGAGTATAGAAAGTCTCCCAGCAGTAGACACAGGAATTAGGCTCTCTCCTATCACAGGACTGGAGTGGGAGGAGAATTGCTGAAACCAAGGCTTCTCTTGGGCAGTGACACTTGCAACCAGTGACAGCCTTGTGACTTGGAACTGATCTGAGTGTGTCATTGATAGGTGCCTCAGCCTGCTCTCTTGGTCAGTCGGGGAATATTCCCCCACCAGCTCTGAGGAGCGGGAGGGAGGTGGACCACACTTGTGGAGGTCTAAGGGAAGCATAGCCCAGCAAAGCCTACTTTGGGTCAGTAAAAACAAGAGTACAGTGCCAGCCATTGAAGGTGGCACCACTAAAGTATGGGAACAGTTATGGAGAGGGGGTCATCTCTTGCTCCCTCAATCCTCTCCTCAGTGTTTTGTCATGGACTCAGCAGCAGCTCTTCACACTGGGGTCTAGGGAGCATGTGCTGACGGAGTCCACTTCTCAGGTTTCTCCAGTGGCTCCAGACCCACTGAAGGTGAATGTATACTGGGGGAGAATGCTTCTGACACTTATCCATTGCTTCCATCCATACCCCTACCTATCAGCTCTTATTCTTAAGTACTGTCTGCTAGACTGCAACCTGAACCACACCACCAAACACAATTACTTTGCTACAATGAGCAATGTCTGAGAAAGCCACTGCATGAACCTATCTGCAACCAAGAAACCTGGACAGAGCCGTGACACCCTGACACATCTAGAAATAAAGCCATTCCATGACACATGATATACACAACCGTCATACCCTGAAGTGAAAAGAGAATAAAAACTCAAGAAGTTCCATCCAAGTGATTGCAAATTATAAATAAATAAATAAGTGTCGGCTTTCTCAGAGGAGGAAAAACTAGTACAAGAACTGTGGCAGTACAAAACGCCATGGTGTTTCATCACCTCCAAAGGATCCCACTAGCTCTCAAGCAATGGATTCTAACCAGAATAAAATGTCTGAAATGACAGATATGGAATTCAGAATTTGGATGGCAAAAAAGCCTCAATAAGATCCAAGAGCAAGTAAAAATCCAAGGCAAAAAGCAAGAAAAATGATCCAAGATTTAAACGACAACATAGGTATGAGGAAAGAACCAAAAAGAATTTCTGGAATTGAAAAATTTACTACAGGAATTTCAAAATACAGTTGGAAGCCTTAAAAACAGACTAGACCAAGAAGAAGAATTTCAAAGCTCAAAGACCAATCCTTCAAATCAATCTAGTTGGACAAAAATTTAAAATAAAGAACTAAAGAAATAAACACAGCTTTTAAGAAATGCAGGATTATGCAAACCAAGCAAACCTACAACTTATTGGCAGTCCTGAGAGAAAAAAGAAAATAATTAAGTGACTTGGAAAACATATTGAGGATATGATTAAGGAGAATTTACCCATTCTTGCTGGAGAGGTCAACATGCAGATACAAAAATCCAGGGAACTCCAGTGAGAAACTATAGAAGATGACCATCTGTGTATTAGCTTATTCTTCTGTTACTATAAAGGAATACCTGAGACTTGGTTATTTATAAAGAAAATATGTTTGCTTGGCTCACGGTTCTGCAGGCTGAACAGCAAGCATGGCTCCAGTATTTTCTCAGCTTCTGGTGAGGCCTCAGGATGGTTGTAATCATGGCAGAAGGTAATGGGTAGCCAGCATGTCAAATGGCGAGAGCAGGAGCAAGAGAGAGAGGAAGAGGCTGCCATACACTTTTAAACAACCAAATCTTACACAGACTAACTAATCACCAAGTCATTCATGAGAGATCTGAACCCATGATGAAAACACCTCCTACCAGGCCCCATCTCAAACACAGGGGGTTACATTTCAACATGAGATTTGGAGGAAACAAATATCCAAGCCATATCATTCCTTAAAGTGCATAGTTATCAGAATATTCAAGGTCAATATGAAAGAAAAAAAATCTTAAAGGCATCTAGCGAAAAGGGTTATGTAATGCATAAAAGAAAAACCATCAGATTAACAATGGACTTCTAAGCAGAAACTTTATAAGCCAGAAGATATTGCGGGTCCATATTTAGCATTCTAAAAAAAAAAAAAAGAAAGAAAAAGAAAAAGAGGCTAGGTGTGGTGGTTCACTCTTGTAATCCTAGCACTTTGAAAGACCAAGGCAGGTGGATTGCTTGAGCTCAGAAGTTTGAGATCAGCCTCTGCAACATGGCGAAACTTCATCTGCATGGAAAATACAAAAAATTTCTGGGCATGGTGGCATGTGCCAGTAGTCTCAGCTACTTGGGGGGCTGAGGAGGGAGGATGGCTTGAGCCCAGGAGGTTAAGACTGCAGTGAGCTGAGATTTGCACCACTTCACTCAAGCCTGAGTGACAAAGTGAAAGCCTGTCAAAAAAAAAAAAAAGAAAGAAAGAAAAAGAAATGTTAGTCAATAGTTTCATATGCTACCAAACTAAGCTTCCTAAACGAAAGAGAAATAAAGTACTTTCCAGACAAGCAATCTCTAAGGGAATTTGTCACCATTATACTGGCCTTACGAGAGATGCTAAAGGGAGTTCTAAACATGGAAACAAAAGAATGGCATTGCTATCATAATAGCACATGCAAGCACATAGCTCACAGAATCCATAAAACAACAATACAATCAAGACTGCAAAGCAACTAGCTAATAACACTATAACAGGAACAAATTCTCACATAGCAATATTTATTTGAAACATATAGTCTAAATTCTTCACCTAAAAGACATAGAGTGCCAAATTAGATTAAAAAATGGCCATCCTTCTTCTGTCCTTTAAAAGACCCATCTCACATGTGATGACACCCACAGGATCAAAGTAAAGAAAGGGAAAAAGTTATATCGTGGGAATGAAAAACAAAGAAAAGTGCAGGGGTCACTAGTTTTGTATCGGATAAAGTATACAGTAAACCAATAATAGTAAAAAAGAACCCAAAAAAGGGTATGACATTGATAAAGTATTCAATTCAACAAGAAGACTTGACTATTCTAAGTATGTATGCACCCAACATTGGAGCACCCAGATTTATAAAACAATTACTTCTAGGTTTAAGCAAAGACTGACAGCCACACAGTAATAGTGCAGGACTTCAACACTGCACTGACACCATTACAGAGATCATTGAGGCAGAAAACCAAGACAGAAATTCTGTCTTAAAACCAAGACTTAAAATTCTACATTTGATCACTTGGACGTAATAAAGAAGACTCCACCAACAACCCTAAAATACACATTATTCTCATCTTCGCATGGGACATACTCTAAGATTAACCACATGCTAGGTCATAGAGTCTCAATTATTTCCAAAAAAAAAAAAAAATTGAAATCGTCATCTCAGACCACAGTGGAATAAAAATAGAAATCAATAGCAAGGGAAATGCTCAAAGTCGCAAAGTACATTGAAACTAAGCAACTTGCTCCTGAATGACTTTTGGGTAAACAATGAAATTAAGAGAGAAATTTAAAAATTCCTTGAAATAAATGAAAAGGAGACAAAACACACCAAAACCACTAGGATGCAGCAATAGTAGTCTTAAAATGAAAGTTTCTAACACTAAATGCCTATGTCAGGAAGATAGAAAGATATCAAATTTCAGCTTACCAACACACCTAAAGTTGTTCTAGTAAAATAAGAACAACTTATTTTACTTAGTTAACAAAGTTAGCAGAAGAAAGAAATAACCAAAATCAGAACAGAGCTAAATGAAATTGAGATAAAAAAAAAATACAAAGATTAATGAAACCTAGCCTACTGAAAAAAGTGAAACCAAAACTACTGAAACTATTCCCAAAAATCAAGGAGGAGGGACTGCTTCTGGATCCATTCTCTGAACTAGTATCTCCTGATACAAAAATCTGACAAATAAAAAAGAGGACATTTTTTTCCTTGAAGAAAATAGACATAAAAAATTAAAAAAAAAGAAAAGAAACCACTACCAATCCAAATCCAGCAATAAATGAAAAAGTTAATTCATCCTAATCAATTGGGCTTTAGTCTTGGGATGCAAGGATGATTCAACATATGCAAATCAATAAATGTGATTCACCACATAAACCAAATTAAAAACAAAAACCCTGTAATCATCTCAATAGATGCAGGAAATGCATTTGATAAAATCCAATATCCCTGATGATAAAAACCTTTAACAAACTAGGCATCAAAGGAACATAGCTCAAAATAATAAAAAGACATCCATGACAAACCCATAACCAACATCATACTAAATAGGCAATAGTTGGAAGCATTCTCCTTAAGAACTGGAACAAGATAAGGATACCCATTCTCACCATTTCTATTCAATATAGTACTGGGAGTCCTATCTAGAAGAATTAAGCAAGAGAAAGAAATAAAAGACATTTAAATAGAAAAAGAGGAATTAAAATTATCTTTCTTCACAGACAATGATTCTATACCTAAAACACCCAAAAATTGTACACAAAAGACCTGATATATGACTTCAGCAAAGTCTCGAGATACAAAATCGTTGTACAATATCAGTAGTATTTCTATACCCAATAACATTCGAGCTAAGAACCAAATTGAGAACACAATCTCATTTAAAATAGCCATAAAATTAAAACGTCTGTGAATACATCTAGCATAGATGATGAAAGGCGTCTATAAGACAAGCTTTCGACACTGTTGCAAAAAATCACAGATGACACAAACAAATAGAAAAGCTTTCCATGCTCATGCATTGGAAGAATCAATATTGTTAAAATGTCCATACTGCTCAAAGCAATCTACAGATTCAATGCTATTCCTACTACCAACCTAATTCTTTACAAAATTAGACAAAAATATTCTAAAGATTGTATGGAACCAAGACAGAGCTGAAATACACAAGGGAAGCCTAAGCAAAAATAACAAAGCCTGAGGCAACACATTACCTGACTTCAAACTATACTATAAGGCTACAGTAACCAAAACAGCACGATACTGAAAAAAATTGATACATAGACCAAAGAAGCAAAATAAATAACCCAGAAATAAAGCCACAAACCTACAACAAAAATAAACCACTGGGGAAGGGTTCCCTATTAATACATGGTGCTGAGAAAGCAAGCCAATCATATGAAGAAAAATGAAGCTGGACCTCTACTCCTTACCATATACAAAAACTAAACTATTCCCAAAAATTTAGGAGGAGGGACTTCTCCCTGACTCCCTTTGACAGATTTGGATATCAAATCTGGTTGATTTTGTGAACAAGTATCATCCTGATACCAAAATCTGGCAAAGAAAAAAAAAAACTACAGGCCAATATCCCTGAAGAAAATATGTATATAAAAATTCTTTAAAAAAAGGTGAATTAAAGACTTAAATGTGATTCATCAAACTATCAAAACTATAGAAGAAAACTTAGGAAATACTCTTCTAGACATTGGCCTAGGCATATAATTTATAATAAAGACCCCAAAAGAAAATGCAACAAAATCAAAAAAGACAAATTGGACATTATTAAACTAGAGAGCTTCTGCACAGCAAAAGAAACTATCAATAAATTAAACACAGTCTTCAGAATGTGAGAAAATATTTGCAACCTATGCATATGAAAAAGGAATAATACCCAGAATCTAAAAGGAACTTACACAAATAAACAAGAAAAAAGCAAACAGCCCCATTAAAAAGTGGGCAAAGGATATAAGCAGACACTTCTTAAAAGAAGACAAACAAATGTTCAACAAACATATGAAAAAATGCTCAACATTCTTAATCTTTAGAGAAATGCAAACCTAAACCACAATGAAATACCATCTCACACCAGTCAGATGGCTATTAAAAAAGTTTAAAAAAAACCAAAAACCAAAAAAACAACCGAAATTGGTGAGGTTGTGGATAAAAGGAAATGCTTATACACTGTCGATGGGAATGCAAATTCGTTCAGTCCCCATGGAAAGCAGTTTGGGGATTTCTCAAAGAACTAAAAATAGAATTACCATTTCACTCAACAATCCCATTACTGGGTATATACTCAAAGGAAAACAATTTTTTCTACCATAAAGACACCTGTAATTGAATGTTTACTGCAGCTCTATTCACAATAACAAAGACATGGAATTGACCTAGGTGCCCATCATTGGTAGGCTGGATAAAGAAAATGTGGTACATATGCATTGTGAAATACTACACAGCCATGAAAAATAATGAAATCATTTTCTTTGCAGGAACATGGATGCAGCTAGAGGCCATAATCCTAAGCAAATCAATGCAGAAACAGAAAACCAAATACTGTATGTTCTCACTTGTATGTTGGAGATAAACACTGGGTACAAATGGACACAAAAATGGGAACATTAGACAGTGAGGATTCCAAGAAAAGGGAGGAAGGGAATAAGGGGTGAAAAACTACCTACGGGATACTATGTTTGCTACTCAAGCTGGGCGACTGGATCCTTAGAAGCCCAAACCGCATCATCATGCAATATACTTATGTAACAATGCTGCACATGTACACCCTGAATCTAAAATTTAAAAATTAAAGCAAAAAGTAAACTACTTAATACAGAATCTCCAATTTGTGTTAAAAAGAAGAAAAGATTGTTTCATTTTTGTTTTATTTTGATTTCCTGTTCTTTAGAAAACAGGAGATATCAGAAATGAAGTAAAGCTTTTGTTAATGTTGATGACTTCAACTCTGAAATTTCCTTACTTTATTCCAAACATCATAGAATTAGACATAGGCTCCCATGTTAAAGTAATAAAAACAATAGTGATATGATGTATTAATATGGTTATTATTTATTGAGGGCTTGCTCTATGCCAAACAATCTACTACAGATATTACCTATATTATTATTTTCTTTATATCTCAAAATAGCTGCTTGAGGTATACACTACTGCTATATCCTATATTGTGTGGGGATAAACGCTAAAGGAATTTAGGCTTAAAGACATTTATACTTGCTGTAGACTCAGGAAAATGAACAATACCAGCGTACGCTTTTTGCCAGCCGAGATTAGATGGGATAGAATGGCTGAATGCCTTTTCTATCGTTCTTAAGTGAGCTCTTCTATGGTCTGTGTTTCTTGGCTAAAGATCCTCTGGTTAGGTATTGTCTTTGTCTGTTTTGTGCTGTTTTCACATAGTACCTGAGACTGGGTAATTTATAATGAACAGAAATTTATGATTTCACAGTTCTGAGGGCCAGGAAGTCCACAATCAAGGGGCCGCCATCTTGCCGGTGCCTTCTTGGTACATCATCACACAGTGGAAGGGCAAAGACATGGCCAGAGAGAGGAAAGGGGTCAAACTCACCGTTTTACAATGGCACCAATTCCACCCATGAGTGTGGAGTCCTTATAGCCTAATCACCTCTGAAACATTCCACCTCTTAATACTGTTACAATTGCAATTAAATTTTAATATGAATTTTGGAGGGAACACATGTTCAAATCATAGCAGGTATCATGATTATTTTTCATTTTTCTTAAAATGCTAGGAATATTCCCTATTGTTTTCATTAGATATTACATGGGGCCTCAATTTTTTTGCGAGACTAATATAGTAAATGGAGTGAGTCATAAATAGGTTAAAGTAGAGCCTTTTATGCCTAAGAATGTGTCTGTCTCATAATGCAAGTGGTCAATCCAGCCAGCACCATCTTCAATCAGACAGGGATGCCTGACACCCCTTCAATCAGAGTGCTAAGCCAGCTTTGATGTCCTGGGCTTTTCTGTCAGCAAGAGTAGCACTGTAGGATATTACTTGGCCTTATATTTTGTAAGTAATTCACAGAAAGGCAGGGCTCTATATGAACATTGGCAGGTCTCTGCCCCTGAGGGTCCTGCAGACCCTAGGCTTCTTCCTCAATCACACAGATAACAATTTATTTTGAGAACAGAGTCAAATCAATATATCTCTAAGATAGGATTCAAATCGATGTCTCTACTTGAGTGACAAAGAAAAATAACATCATCTAATATGGAATTAATTAGGTAGTAAATATTAGATAACATGAAAGAAAGTGTCAAAGAAGAAGGAAATTTTATTTCTTCAATTTTATATCCAACTGTAATCTTCCATGTAGTGATCTTATAAATCACTATATATAAAATAAAAGATGTAATTCTTATACTAGATTTTTTTTTAACAAATATTTCCAGGATTTGAATTATGTTTTCATTCTGGCTTCTTGGCTATTTCTATCAGAAGAAGAAATTTATATGCCCAGCCACAATTCATAAACATGTACATGCCAGCTTTCTGGCAATAGTGATTTAAATGTCAAAACCAATATTCACACAGGTGATAGCAATAAGCAGACTCTGAATTAAAAATTCCTGATAACTTTTGCTTTTCAGAAGCACTTACATGGTGCAATCTTGGTTTAAGAGGGTGATAACACTAGGGATTACTGCTGGTGACCCCTATAATGTTAAAAATAGAACAAATAAATAAATCATATGTTTTGCGAACCATGGAATGGGAGGTAAGCAGAGAAAAAGGACAAAAATTTATTTGACGTTTTGGAGGGAGACTTCTGTTCAGTAATGGAAAACAAGAGGGACGGCCGGAAGAAGATCTGAAATATATAAGGTAATATATTTTAATATTTTAATTTAGGATGTTAACTGTTGGGCAAAGAAGTCCCTGCTTGAGAATTATGTCTCCATAACCATTATTTCCCAAACTTAAGTTTAACTAATTAAAACCTGGAATTCTGGGTAAAACATACACTCTTGGTCCTACTCTCAGATTCTGAATGAGTAGGACTTGGATAGTGGGGCAACAATTTGCATTTCTACCCCACTCACAGTTGTTGCTGATGTTGTCTGCTTACACATGCAGCAGAGACAATAATAACCCTTTCAAAGAAGTTCACTTCCTAATCCCTAGAACCTGTGGATACATTATGCTACATGGCAAAGGGGAACTAAGGTACCAAATGGAAGTAAAGTTGCCAATCAGCCAACTTTAAATTAAGGAGTTCATCCTGGGTCGTCCACATGGACACAATATAATGAAGAAAGTTATCAAATGAGCAAGAGGAGGTAGAAGAGTTAGAACAAGAAGTTGATGGCATTCTGATAAATACTGGACTGGCTGTTCCTGGCTTGAAAGTGGAAGAAGCCATGAGCCAAAGGAATGTGAATAGCCTCTGGAGTCTGGAAAAGGCCAGGAAATGTATTCTCCTCTAAAGCCCCCAGAAAGAAAAGCAGCCCCAATGACAACTTAGATTTTGTCCAACAAGACCAATTTTAAATTTCTGATCTTCAGAACAGTAAGATAACAAAAGTGTGCTGTTTTACGACAGTAATACTATGTTGTGTCAGCAAGAGGAAGTAGATTATACTTTAGCAAGGATCCAACCCATCATAACTCTTTTGTCCATGCTTTTATGAATGTACCGTTAGAAATTTCAAGAATGGGCCGGGCACTGTGACTCACGCTTGTAATCCTAGCACTTTGGGAGGGAGAGGAGGGTGGATCACAAGGTCAGGAGTTCGAGACCAGCCTGACAAATATGGTGAAACACCATCTCTACTAAAAATACAAAAATTAGCTGGGCATGGTGGCGGGCGCCTGTAGTCCCAGCTACTCGGGAGGCTGAGGCAGGAGAATTGCTTGAACCTGGGAGGTAGAGGTTGCAGTGAGCCGAGATTGCAACTCTGCACTCAAGCGTGGCTGACAGAGTGAGACTTGGTCTCAAAAAAAAAAAAAGAAATTTCAAGAATGCTGACAACACTCAAGTATCAGTAGTCTTTCCTGGCAACAGTTTCATATGTACAATATTCTAATTTACTAACTAAGACTGCAATACTGACCATATAAACCATGATGGCCAATTGCACCAATCCACATAAATCTATTCCACCAAAGAGAGACCATATTGAAGGTGAGCTGTATTAAAAATAAAAACAGAAGGGAAAAAATAACTTTCCGCTCTTCCTCCTAGGAAAATATTCAAAGACTTTTTCATGTGAGAAGCCTTTCAGTTTATATCATTTGTAATAACTCCTTTCATTTATTCCATCACAATCCATGAAAAACTGTAGGATGATTAAATGAAAAAAAAAAAAGGTCTTTCCACTTGGTATTGGTACTATTGATTCACAGTGTCCTTCATAGCTGTGAAATTTACAATGTGTTAATAGTTAATGGAAAACAATAGGAAGTCTGGATTTTTTATATTCTGGCTGTCAATATTAATTTTAATTTTATAATTTTAAGAAAAATAAAATAAAAAAATAACTGTAATATGTCTAGGAATGCCCACTGATTTTATCTTGTCATTGTGTTGATTCTTTCTGATGTTTTCACTGGAATGTACATATTATACAATGTGTGTGAGGATAGTTACTATCATACATATATGCCAATAGCTATATGTGTAAGAAATCTGATCTATGAACCTTAAACTCTGATATGCTAGTACTACAGTTATAATCTGACATGATGAATTTAAACTGAAAATAAAAACAAAAACACAGAAGTGGGAGAGAAGGCCCTTGGAGAGCACTGGTTAGAGGCAGTTGACACTACCTTTCCATTTTTCTTTTATTCTGCTTATGTCTTCTTTCAAATAAAAGAAAACTAGGTGCTATAGTAAAAGTCCTATGAGTCAAGGTACTATAGTTTGATCACTGTGAATATGTAAATCTTGAGAATAAACTTCATTATAACTATAGAACTGAAAAATAAATTTCTTCTAATTTCTAATACATTTCTACAGGGCATAATCATCATCACTTCAGATCACATGTTTTCACAATTTGTTGACTTACTTTTTTTAGTGATCTTCATTGACAGATACGAGCAAAAGATAGAATTGGCTCTGGAAATATGGATTTTGTGTATGCAAAATCCTTTACCACATTTTTTCATCATACCCGTTGTTATCTTTTCTAAGGAAATTCATGCTGTCTTTCTCTTACCTGAGTTATCAAACTTCTCACACTCAACTTCACTCTGCTCTTCACTCACACTCCTAGAAAAGTATAATAGCATTTCTATTGAAGTGTACTGTCATTCAGTAAGATAGATGATGGCTTCATTTTTGTTCATTGGTCTATTTTGAAATGAATGAGGGTACAAAAGTGGCCAAGTAAGTCTGGATCTAGAGGTGTTCTTTATATCACCCAAGCTGTAGATCTTTCAGATTATGTTAAAAAACTATATAGTATCTGTTTTCCTAATCATGTTCCTTAATAGATGAACATTTTAAAGATTTTAGAATTAATAAGAGATTCTCCTCCCTTTTCAATGATGTCAATATCCTAGGCAACATGTTATAGCATTTTAAATTACATTATGAGATAATTTTTCTTTAGATTCATGTAACTTAGGAATTGCAACACATATAAACATAAGTAAGAAACAAATAAGAGTAATTTTCAGCAGAGGGTTATATAACTTTTTTAGATCTGCTGTCATCCTGATCTTGAAAATTAAGATGGCATCTAGAATGCCTGAAATATAGAAAGGTATATTTGGTTTGGAAAGAAGGGACATGATAAACAGAGGAACTTATTTAACAAGTATCTATTATCTATTGATTTAGATGCTATTCGTACATTCATTGTTCATTAACTGTATTGTTATCACATTGCTGTAAAGGACTGCCCAAGACTGGGTAATTTACGAAAAAAAAAAAGTTTTAATTGACTCAACAGTTTCACATGACTGGAGGAGCCTCAGGAAACTTACAATCATGATGGAAGGGAAAGAGGCACATCTTACATGGCAGCAGGTGAAAGAGAGTAAATATGTGTAGAAGGAAATGTCAGACGCTTATAAAACCATCAGATTTCATAAGAACTCACTCACTATTATTAGAACAGCATGGGAACACTGCCCCCAGGATCCAGTCACCTACCACAGGTCTCTCCCTCAATGTGTGGGGATTATGGGGTTTGCAATTCAAGATGAGATTGGGTGGGGACACAATTCCTAACCATATAATTCTGCCCCGTCCCCTCCCAATTCTCATGTCCTCACATTTCAAAACCAATCATGCCTTCCTAACAGTCCCCCAAAGTCTTAGCACATTTCAGCATTAACTCAAAAGTCCAAGTTCAAAGTCTCATCTGAGACAAGGCAAGTCCCTTCTACCTATAAGTCTGTAAAATCAAAAGCAAGTTAGTTACTTCCTAGATACAATGAGGGTATAGGCATTGGATAAATGCTCCCATTCCAAATGAGAGAAATTAGCCAAAATGAAGGGGCTGCAGACCACATGCATGTCCTAAATCCAGTAGGTCAGTCACTAAATCTTAAAGCTCTGAAAGGATCTCCTTTGACTTCATGTCTCACATCCAGGTCACACTCATGCAAAAGGTGGGCTTCCATGGTCTTGGGCAGCTTCACTCCTGTGGCTTTGCAGGGTACAGCCCCACCACCGATTGATTTCCCAGGCTGGGGTTGAGTGTCTGCAGCTTTTCCAGGTGCGTGGTGCAAGCTGTCAGTGGGTCTACCGTTCTGGGGTCTGGGGGACAATGGCCCTCTTCTCACAGTTCCACTAGGCAGTGTCCCAGTGGGGCTCTATGTGGGGGCTCTAACCTACATTTTTCTTCCATACTTCCCTAGCAGAGGTTCTCCATGAGGGCTCCAACCCTGCAGCAAACTACTGCTTCAACACCCAGGAGATTCCATACATCCTCTGAAATCAGATGGAGGTTCCCAAACCTCAATTCTTTACTTCTGTGAACCTGCAGGCCTAACACCACATGGAAACCACCAACAACTGGGGCTTGCACCCTATGAAGCAATGGCCTGAGCTGTACGTTGGCCCCCTTTAGCCATGGCTGGAATGCAGGGTGCCAAGTCCCAAGGCTGCACAGAGCAGCAGTGAGGCCCTGGGCCTGGACCATGAAACCATTTTTTCCTCCTGGGCCTTTGAGCCTGAGATGGGAGGAGATGCCATGAAGGTCTCTGACATGCCCTGGTGATATTTTCCTCATTGTCTTGGCTATTAAGCTCCTCAATACTTATGCAAATTTCTGCAGCTGGCTTGAATTCTTCCCCAGAAAAATGGGTTTATTATTTTCTACTACATGGTCAGGTTGCACGTTTTCCAAACTTATATACTCTGCTTCCCATATAAACATGTTTCCATTTCAAACCATTTCTTTGTGAACACATTAGACTGAATGCTTTCAAAATCAACCGGGTCACATCTTGAATGCTTGGCTGCTTAGAAATGTCTTCTGGCAGATACCCTAAATCATCTCTCTCAAGTTCAAAATTCCACAGATCTCTAGGGCAAGGAAAATTTCTCCAGTCTCTTGGCTAAAGCATAGCAAAAGTGACCTTTACACCAGTTCCCAAGAAGTTCCTCATCTCCATCTGAGACCACCTCAGCCTAGACTTCATTATCCACATGATTATCAGCATTTTGGTTAAACCCACTGAATGAGTCTCTAAAAAGTTCCAAACTTTCACACATCTTCATGTCTTCTGAGCCTTCCAAACTGTTCAAACCTTTGCCTGTTACCCAGTTCCAAAGTTGCTTCCACATTTTCAAGTATCTTTATAGCAGCACCCCACTACCTCAGAATCAATTAACTGTATTAGTTCATTCTCACATTGCTATGAATAACTGCCCATGACTGGGTAATTTATTAAAAAAAAAAAGAGGTTTAATTGACTCACAGTTCTGCATGGCTGGGGAGGCCTCAGGAAACTTCCAATCATGGTGGAAGGGGAAGAGGCACATTTTACGCAGTGGCAGGTGACAGAGAGAGTGTGTGAAGGAGGAACAGTCAGACAAGGATAAAACCATCAGATCTCGTGAGAATTCATTCACTATCATGAAAACAGCATGGGAACACTGCCCCCATGATCCAATCACCTCCCACCAGCTCTCTCCCTTGACATGTGGGGATTATGGGGATTACAATTCAGGATGAGATTTGGGTGGGGACACAAAGCCTAACCATATCAATTAACATAGTGAATAAATATGGATTAAATGTCAGTGATATGTTAAGCAATCAGACACTATTCTATAATATTGTGGTGGAAGATGCATAAATATAGAACAAAACTTCTGCATTCAGACATTTTATATTTAAGTCAAGCAGATAGTAAAAAGTAATGATTAAAATACATATAAGAGTATGTTGATGATAATTGGGGAAAAGGGCAGAGAAGAGTGTAGGTAAAATTGGAAAGTTTCACTTATAAATAGTATTGTTAGAAGAACCTTTGCCAATAAATGTTAATATTTGAATTAACACAAAAAATTAAATGAGGGATTAAGCCATGTAGATAGCTAGGGAATGACTATTTCATTAAAGAGAAGAGCAAACACTAATACTGAGTTGGGTTAATTTAAACAGTTTTTCAGTAGAAACCAGAGACTGATGTAGTAGGAAGTTAGAACAAGTGAGAGGTAGAGAAGTAGGAAAGAGGCCAGAGAGATAATGAAAGGTCAGTCCATGCGGTTACTTGCCTACGACTGCAAACTTTGATTTTACTCAGAAGGATATGGAAATTCAATCAAGGACATTAAAAAGAGAAAGCCTAGTGTATATATGGGATGCTTTTCTGGCTGCTTTACTGAGAATAAATAAAAAATAAGGGAAATTAAAACAAGGAGACACCTTAAGATGCTATTGAATAATTTAGTGAGTATGTGATTGTAACTTGGACAAGATTCCAGTATTGAAGGTTAAATATATTTAGAAGCTAGAAGAAAAACAATGCTGGTGGGTTAACTACAGGTTATGTAAGAAAGAGAAAAGTCAAGGATGACTGATATTAATTTGGCTTACCCACAAAATATATAGGATTTCTATCAGTCTAGATGAAAATGATGGCAGGAGGGACAGTAAAGGAAAAAACAGCACTCACTTTTGGATTGCAGATGCCAGATTGGCCTAGGACTATAAACCTTGAGTATGGAGTTGAATCCATGAGGCTGGAGTTCAGGGGAATGATTCAGACTTCAGTAGAAATTTGAACTAATTTATTGATGTTATTATAAGTGTGAGCTCTCCAGTTCTCTTAAATTAATACATCAGGAAGAAAAGGAGGAATTAGCAAAAGAAACCGAGAGACTGAAGGTAAACTAGTAGAATTCTGTGTCCTGGAACTGTTAAGGTTCAGTGTTTCAAGTAAGGCAAAAAATGAAAAGTTGACTACAGATTTTACAATTTAAACATTATCTGTGACTTTGGCAAAAATAATTTCAGAGGAGAGGGGATTAAACCCTTGTTAGGTGGGGCTCAAGAAAAAATATCAGGAATAATTTGGAGCAAGCTAATATAAATGCTATTTTCATTGTGTACTACTTCTTGAGGAAAAAGAAGAAATAGACCCATAGATGTAGCTAAAATTATGTCAAAGAACATTTTTAGAAAACAAAGGGAAAGAAATAACCCTATGTCTGCATGCAGTGGTAAAAAAGGAGAGGTAAACGATATGCACGATAAAGTAGATAAAACTTCTGGATCAGTGTCTTTTGAGTGGATAACAAAGTATGGGATCTAGGTTGCAGATGAAACGGTTGGGCTTTGTTTGAAGCAAGGGGCAGTTCTTCCATAGTATCTCGAAGGAAAGAGTAGATGCATAGAACAGTGAAGGAGAGTAGATCAATGGTTGGGAGCTTTTAGACTTTTATTTATTGCAAGGTTATCAGGTGAGAGTGAGAGAGTTAAAATAGGTATCGAGTATTTTGTTTGAAAAAATATGTATAAGACAACTCTCCCTTTACATGCTAGTTACAGAAACAACCACCACCCAACTGTTGGTTTTCCTTCTACTCTATCTCTGCTTATTGACTGTCCAATGTCTAGGGATAGTTTATGGAGAAATTTGTTATAATTTAAAAAAGACATTTAAAAGCAGAGGGAATTAATGTCATTAACATTAAATATTTTTATCTTATTTATTCTATAATCTTTGCCAAATTACTTACACATTTTTATGCTTTATTTTTTATATGTAAAATGAAGAGGAATATATTCAAATATATTCATTTCTTATTTTTTAAAGATTGAAGGTGTCTGGAAAAATATACTAAACCTATAAACTGGCAAAAATTCCTGAGTGTTTTTTCAGCCCTTTTTAAGAGCCTACACTTTTAATTGGCTTTCTATTGACTGGACAGTTTCTTACTTGTCTTGAAGAAAAGACAAGTCTTAAAGTTACTCTTTTTGCTCAGTAAGATATTAACCAGTTTGGTACCTTAGGTTAACATTTCAATCTCAGTTTAACATTCTGTATCTTAGCTTACCCAACCTTAGCTTAACATTCCTTTATTACATTACATATAGAGACCTAGCTTCTCAAATGCTCTTTGAACAGGTTTTAATCTACTTTTAGTTTCTTCATTAATCAGGTAAGTACAATTTTAACACTTGTCCATTTTATAATTACATGAGCATTTAAAATTTTAAGATGTATACTTTAACAAATGATAACATTATAATCTCTAGCTGAGTGTCTGACATGTATTGCTTCATTTGCCTTCACAGCCCACTCTCATATCTATTTCAATCATAGCTTTTAGCATTTATAATTAAAAATAATAAAAATACAGTTGAGTATTTACAAATACAGTTGTAATATTATATCCTTTTACTATCCTAATAATTGGAGAGATTTACTTTGCACTTAGCAAATTATTGATAGTTTCTCATGGCTAAATACTGCAAATACTTAAAGTGAACCTCTAATGGGAACTAGGGGTTGGTAAAAAGGTTACTGGATTTGGTCTATGACAGATTTTTTTTTTTTTTTTTTTTTTTGAGACGGAGTCTTGCTCTGTTGCCCAGGCTGGAGTGCAGTGGCGCGATCTCAGCTCACTGCAAGCTCCGCCTCCCGGGTTCACGCCATTCTCCTGTCTCAGTCTCCCGAGTAGCTGGGACTACAGGCGCCTGCCACTATGACCGGCTAATTTTTTTTATACATTTGGTAGAGACTGGGTTTCACTGTGTTAGCCAGGATGGTCTTGATCTCCTGATCTTGTGATCCGCGCTCCTCGGCTTCCCAAAGTGCTGGGATTACAGGCGTGAGCCACCGCGCCTGGCCGGTCTATGATAGAATTTTGTCAGAATCCTGGCTATGTTATTTAGATGGCTTGATTAGCAATTTTTTTTATCCACAAAATAATGAAAATAAAAGCCCCCAGCTTTGCCTGGGTGTGTGAAATAAAGTACACAACACAATTTCTGCTCCTTACAAATTCATTAATATGTTATTTGAATTCTAGAATTAATGCTCCAAAAGTATGCATTTAACCATGCTTATCATGAACCCTACATTTATTCTACTAAAATCCATTACTCATATTAGAACTAAATACCTTAGATGGAGACTCCTAAACCTTTATTCTGAGCGGGAGTGAGGCCCAGACTCACCACCTTTATAATGTCAACAGCTTGACAATTAACATATATTCCAGCTCAGTTCTTCCTTTTTCTGTGTGAGTACCTAGAATACATGCTCTCCCCATCCTCATTTCAGAAAATCAAGTCATTTTACTCTGCCTCTCTTTATGTACAACACTGACATTAATATTTAATATTTTGTCCTGCCTTGACATCAAGTAAAATTGGGAGAGCTTCAAATGCTCTAATTCCAAGTTTTCCACCTCCTTTGCCCTAGTGGCTAAGGTTCCCTACCCAAATAACCATCACAGAGACCAAGACACACTGACTACTTATTCCTTAGTAGTGAACTTCAGTTCTCTGACAGCCCTAGAATTATTCCAGTCAATGACATCCTCCCTCTTGATACTACAACGCCAGCTTCCTGCATGCCCTGCTTGTTTACTCTGGTCTCCAGTGTAGCCTCCATATGGCCCTGTGTGGCAATGTCCTCTTACCTCTGGCTGTGAGTGTTCTCTTACCTCTGGCTTTGAGTGTGAGTGTGGTAGTATCCTCTTACCTCTAGCTGTGACCAGCAACAAGCTGTCAATCTCAACTGAAAAGTGTTAGGTGTCATGCTTTCAGCCATCCCCTAACATAGATCAGGGACATCTCCTTCACCAGTGGGATGAAAAGAGGAAAATAAAACATATCTGTTTAAACATCAAGTTTTTCCTCATTTTCCCCTTATTCCTTCATTTATGCATCTAGCCATCCATTCATCCATCCATTCATCCATCCATTCATCCACCCATTCGTCCACCCATTCATCCACTCATCCATCCATCCATCCATCCATCCATCCATCCATCCATACATCCACTTATTCACCTAATAAATACTTAACAATTTTCAGAATATATTCTATTCATTTCTATAGGCATCTGAAAACTATTTATTAGTAACTAATCATGTTCAATATTGCAACGTGATTAAAATATTAAAATTATTTTCTGAATTATTTCTGAAATGCATCTTTTTTCCAACTTTCCTACAACTTTACACTAATTCAGTCTTGATACATTTTAATATTGTAGTTTTTTAAAAAATACAAAGGCAAGGAAAGAGAGAAAATGCTGACTACTCATAACCTATTACTTATTTTAGTCCCATGTTGATATGCATTTATTTATTCAATTTATTTTTATTGAACCCCTACTTTTTGCCAAGAATTGTTATAAGTTTTGAGTATAGTGCAGTGAAATCAAAGTAAAACAGAATATAACACAACCAAAATGTAAATTAAAACAAACAAACAAAAATCACTGGTGTCATGACACATTTTAATGGTAATAAAGAGATAGAATGTAAGCAATAAACCATCAATAAAAATACTGTTTTAAGTATAAAAATAATCTAGCTAGAATTTTCTCAAATTATGCATGCTTGGCATGACCAAGTAAAGAACAGGAGGCCAGGGTTTATGGGACAGAGTGAGCTGGTGGCAAGACTTAACAGATTATGAGGCCAGAGAAAGAACCAGTGGCCAGAACATATTGGCTATTGGGAGCAGAGTACAGTTTTTAGTCCGGAGAATGGTGAGAATCCATTATAGGGGGTTAGCCAAGAAACAGGCGTGAATATATTGGTGTTTAAAAAGGAACTGTGTACCCCTGTAATAGAGAATAGACAGTAGGAGAAAAGATAAAGGCAGGGAGACAAATTAGGAAGCTACTATAATAATCCAGATGAAACAGGATTGAAATACAGAGATTATTATTGAAATACCCTAATACAAATGTAGAGTTCTTTCTACAAAAATGATTCAGTTTCATAAATATGTTTAGGGATTTTCTTTTTACTGTTAGCAATGGAAAAATTGCTCTATTCTTCTATCTGTATATGTAAAATATTTATTACTATTCAAAAATAAATAATAGTAAAACAATTATGGTAAAAAAATTAGTTAATTTTACTCAGGAA
Organism: Homo sapiens; assembly: GCF_000001405.40. Lineage (NCBI taxonomy): Eukaryota > Metazoa > Chordata > Mammalia > Primates > Hominidae > Homo > Homo sapiens. The sequence continues at coordinate 26,061,250 of NC_000005.10, forward strand.
GTTTAAGATTTCCTACTGCATGTAAGTTAAAAATACTACAATGATGTTTGCTTCATTTACTTTGAAATATTAAGTGGCTTGTTAGCATAATTGCCACTTACGATCCCTGAAGGCTTTTCTTGTTAAATGATATTAAAATATTCACTGCACTTGGATTCAAATTTACAGAAGAAACTATTATTGAGAAATCTCTGTTTATATATACAAAATAGTGATACAAACAATTAATAACCAGAAAATGAGTTTAATTATCTATATTATCTCTCTATTGGCCTTTAATAGGATATGAGTAAAATCTTTGACCAACCTCCCTTGACCAACACACATGAAAAATAAATAGATGTTATCCTATGACTTGAATTTCAATTCATCTCCAGTCTATTTCCTGAACAAGAATTACATTTTAGACTTGTATATCTTCTTTTGAGATTATAAAGGTAACATATTTAATAAGAAACAAAATGAATACTTTCAATAATAATGTTTCTTTTTAAATGAAGAATAATGTTTTACTAATGCTTATAATTATAATATTCTGACAAAAAGCTATTCCCTCATGAGGCTATTCTAAAAACATACATAGTCTCTGCTCTATGGGAATTAGCCTATTTGTGTTAACAAATGTGCCATATAAATGTACATTTGCTCTTGTAATATCATGATGCAATAGCTACGGGCACCTTAGGTTGGAACTTCTTCTTGGGTAAAAGCTATAATGTTTATTTCAGAGTTCAAAATTTTATGTTGCACTGTGCAAGGAATTAAAAGTCATATTTAAAGCACACATTAAGTAGTTTTATCGCCAGTCATAAACTCACACAAGAATCTTTGGTATCAGCAGCTTCAATAATTTTTATACAAGGCAGCAGCCAAACAACATGAATGCCAATTTTGTCTTTGTTGACAATTTGTTCATTTAATTTCAATCTCTGACTCAGATATCTCCAAAATGTAATTTTTAAAAAAGAGTTTGGGAAGAATTCAATGGAATAAACTAAAATCTTACAGTCATATGTGTAAGAAAAATACATTATTTAAAAATTATTGTATAAATATGCTACAATAATCTTACTGAAGCATAATCAAAGTTATGTATTAGCCTTTCTTAAACTCTGTTGTCCAAAAGCAAAGGATGAAATTTAACTAGGTGTTAATATTTAAGCTTCAGAAATTTAACACTGGTTGCCTATCATTTTCTTAGTAGATATGTTAAATTAATTTTATATCCTTTATACTTGATTATCACATGATAGAAGATAGAAATAATACAAAAATAAAGAAAAAATATTGCCTTTATAAAAATAAAAATAAGTGGTTTATAAATAAAACAAGTAAATAATACTTGGTTGCCATTTATCAAGCAAGTATATTGCTGTGAACAATACTTCAGATATTTATCTCCCAAAGTCTCATTTCAATAAAAAAGACAAAACAAGCTTTGGTTTCCAAAACGTGAAAGAAACAAGTACAAACCATTTACCTTGCTATTCATGACATTCCTGAATCTGATATGGACTTCAAGATGTTTCTATAACACCAACTCCCATTTATCCAGTGTTTACATATTAACCCAGAGTTAAATCATAGAGGACATGGTTGATCCTTCATTTGTTATAATACTTTTATCTTAGAACACTTTTGTACATTTTGGCTTTTCAAATTCTGCTTCCCCCCACTACCCCAGATTGGAGCCTCGCTCTGTCGCCCAGGCTGGAGTGCAATGGCATGATCTCAGCTCACTGCAAGCTCTGCCTCCTGGGTTTAAGCAATTCTCCTCTCTCAGCCTCAAGAGTAGCTGGGACTACAGGCACGCACAACCACCCCCAGTTAATTTTTGTATTTTTTAGTGGAGATGGGGTTTCACCATGTTGGCCAGGCTGGTCTTGAACTCCTGACCTCAAGTGATCCACCCTCCCCAACCTCCCAAAGTGCTGGGATTACAGGCATGAGCCACTGCACCCTGACAAATTCTGCTTTTTGAATCCACTAAAATTCCCATTTTAACTTCTAAGAACATGTCTTTTAAGAATAGTTAACTTTTTATGTGCTGTCAAATTATCTTTCTTCTACCTTTACTAGAACACTGGTCTTTACATCTAGCGTGCAACACATATTCTGTTTGTGTTGCCGTAATCATTTATTTTAGATTATAAACTACTTGGAGGTTGGTTTTGTATGGCGTTTAGCACTTGGATTACTCTCATAACTTCAGTATAATCACTAGTCTTACAAAAACAAGAAGTTAATTTGTAATACATCTCTTGCATTACACTAAAATGTAGATATGGCTGTCCATTGCTACAGTGACATTTAGAATCCTTAGAAGAAACATACTTTGAACAAGTGTTGTTACAAATATGGTGTAACATGAAACAGTGATTTCATATAATAGCAAGCCCTAACATACCTAAGACTGGGGAAAGGGAAAGGTAAATAATATATTTAAGCAGATAATAAGTGCTCAATGAATTGCTTTTAATTAAGTTCGATTGATTATAATGCTCAACATTTTTGCTTTTAAAGATTATAAACATATTGTTATATTACACTGGTTAGCAGAAATGAAACATTAATAACAAACAACTTGTAAGCATTTAAAGGGTTCTGGTAAATGATAATCCACATCCAGCAGTTGTATTTTTATAGATGGAATATATTTTTGTATTTGAGAAATGTTTTAATTTTAGGTTTGAATAAATTAAAGAAACTACAGGAGAAAGACAAACACAAAAGTTTGAATCAAATAATTATTTTTCTGCTTTCGTAAATGTTTACTGGCTACTTTTAATTTGTTATTTTTGTATTTAATTGTGATTCTGCCATTTAGTAATCTCAGTTTTCCCATACACCACTGTTTCACTAATATACTAGGCCTTAGACATGTTCCCCTTGCAATGGGCTGGTCATAATTAGTTATGTAATTTATTTTCTAATTACTCACACTATTCATACTGTTGATGTTATAGATGGCAACACATCTCTGAACCTATGTGACTAGGAGAAATATAGATTTTTATTACATTGCACTCTGCATTTAGCTTAATGAAAATTTTGTCACATAAGAAAATAAAGCAAATATGATATGTTGTTTGCCTAAAATAGTTCAGTTTTTAAAAGAGACTACTATAATTTGTTGTAAACACCAAAATTAAGATTTTTTTTCTTCTCTCAAATACTAGAATTCTATGAAATGTGTAGACATTGAATTTATAACTCTATACTGACATTCATGTATTTGGAACTTATTTAGCAAATATTGATCCAGCCATGTAGTAGGCATAGTTGATGTAAAGATGGAAGAAATATTTTTGTTTCCTAGGAGTTTATATTATTGTGAGAAAGCAACAACCACAACAACAAATTTTCTTACCGTGAATCTATTGAATGCCTGACCCCGTTGGTGATGTGGGAGAAATATTTAACTCCTCTAATGTCTTTGACATACAATTGTCCTCTTCCTTCAGCAATGTAGCTCTCTGGTACTCAAACTGAGGGATTTTCCTCAGAGTATTTCACTAGCCTCTTACTCTTGTGTTTCCTTTCTTTCATATCCCCAAGCATAAGATACCTTTACATAGTACTTTATGTACTTTGGACCATAAAATGTATTCTTATGAAACCTATAATTTTATGCCAAAACCAACTCTTACAGCTTTGTTCCTGCTTGTGAAATCAAGAGCCAGAATTTAATTGCCTTTTTTTTTGTTGTTGTTCTCAAATGATTCTTCATTTGTGGTATAAATGAAACAAAAGTAGAAAAGAAACACATGCATAAGTTAATACTTCACAAGTTTTTATATAAGTATATATTGCAAAAAGCTATTCACTAGCTTTTATTTCTCATTTGCCTATAAGTCTGTTGGAAAATCATCTTTTCATGTTCCCAAATACCTGCTTTACATTTGATATCCCAAAGCCACACAATAAATAAATTGTAGACATTCAAGACAATGTAAGTCAACAGAAGCAATGAATGGGACTGAGAATAGAACAATGACAACAACAAAAATGTCCTGCTTTCCAAATGATTGAAGATCACTAAAGTACCTTCCTGTTAGTCTAGGTCACACCACCCCTTAAAAATCAGTGGTATGCTACCTCCGCATACTAAACTCACCCTTCACTCCCTCTTCATGTTTCCACCATT